>NC_000006.12:115373820-115676850 GCF_000001405.40 Homo sapiens | reverse complement strand
GTTTTCAGAATTTCTTTAGAAAGTGGATTGAAACACAGGAACATTTGTAATGAGTGTTCTTCTTTCAGCTAGACCCAACAGTGAGTCATTTCACTGTTTTCCCTCAGAGCATTCTCATTTTTCATTCTATATACAAAATGCAGTGTTCATTACACTTGACAGTATTTTGGGAAAACTTGTTTTTAATATTAAATATTTCGCTAGTGAATATTCAAGTGGCTTATGCCTGGCTCTGTTGATAGCCTGCTGTGTGACCTTGATAAGGTTACTTAACCTTTTTTATGTCTTTGTAAATTTAGGGTAAAATCTTTCTCTCACTTGGCAATGTTAATGCATAATTAATTAGTGCTACTAGAATGAAATCAAAGGCTTTGCCATTAAAAGCAAGGGAAATACACCAGACAATATTACCCTAGATAATCACTGAGGCTCACTGCCCTGAGTCCGTGACTACAAATTTGGAGCTGAGATCCATTTGCTGTCATTGATGACAGTAGGTAGCACAATGCAGAACCAGAACTATTTTTACCATCTTGTGCCCCTCCCAATACATCCCAACACATAAAAACACTCCAAGGGTGAATCTAAGAGTTTTCTTTGTGCCCAGTCTATCTCTCAATCTTTTCTATATGTTGGTATTTTATATATGGTATACATTTTGAAAAATGTCAGTCTCCTCAGAGGGACATAATTACAGTTTTTGCTATTGTTATTTCTTCATTTTTGGTCAGGTAGTTAATGGTTTTATAGAGGTGTTGTTGGTAGTAGTATTTATTTTTAGTGAAATACCTTAATTAAAGAATTCTCTGCAGACAGAGCCTGTTCCAACATGGAAATGGTTTGGAAATACCTTTTCCCAAAGTGTTGTTCTAGCTTCTTGTTGGGTAGGAAGATATTGCAGAAATAGTAGTAATGAAGATGGGGACTGAGACGATATGAATTAGTGTCTTGATTTTAACTGATAAAGAAACTAAGAAACTAAGGTTAAGGAATATTTTTACATATACAGAGATAATAAATCTCAGAGTCAGAATTTAAATTGAGTTTTGTCTGATGACAAAGCCCTTTAGAAAGATAAAACAAAATAAAAACAAAGCAAAACAAAAAATAGACATACAGGTTCTATGGAAGGTCAGAGGACAGGGTGGCTTATCTGTGTACACTGCTGGCAGATGTTCACAGTACGTCACATTTTTATCTAAGCTGAGTCTAAAATGATGAGTAAGCATTGAATAGGCCATGAGAAGAGAAAACATTTGGCATTGTCTGTCTTTTCATTTTGGCCATTTTGGTTGGTGTATAGTGGCATCACATTGTTGCTTTAATTTGCATTTCTTGGAGGAAAAGGTTGAATGCAATTTCATATGTTTATTTGGCTCTTTTGTGAAATGTCTAATGTCTTTTGTCCATTTTTTCAATGGAGTTGTCTTTCTCTTACGGCTTTGTAGGTATTTTTCATATATTCAGTATACAAATTCTTTGTTGGTTATGTTATATTGCAAATATCTTCTGCTTTCTTAGTTGCTTTCACTCTATTAACAGTGTCTTTGGATGAATAGGCATTCTTCGTTTTAATACAGATCAATTTATCTTTTTTTCCTCTTTGGAAAAAGATTTCCTGATTTTTGCGTTCTGTTTAAGAAAATTGGCCGGGTGTGGTGGCTCACGCCTGTAATCCCAGCACTTTGGGAGGCCGAGGGGGGTGGATCACTTGAGGTCAGGAGTTCGAGACAAGCCTGACTAACGCAGTGAAACCCCGTCTCTACTGAAAATACAAAGAATTAGCTGGGTGTGGTGGGGGGCGCCTGTAGTCCCAGCTACTAGGGAGGCTGAGGCAGGAGAATGGTGTGAACCCGGGAGGCGGAGCTTGCAGTGAGCCGAGATGGCGCCACTGCACTCCAGCCTGGGCAACAGAGTGAGACTCCGTCTCAAAAAAAAAAAAAAAAAAGAAAAAAAAAGAAAATCTAGCTTACTTTAAGGGCATAACGATGTCTTCCTCGGGAAATGTCACTGTTTTAGCATTTACACTTATATATGTGATCCTTCTGAAAATAAATGTTGTGTCTGGTGGCAAGTTGTAATATAGATACATTTTGGATATACATTATGTATACAGATACACAATTAGATCCAGCACCATTTATTGAAAAGATAATTCTTTCCACATTTTCACTGCACTACCAGCTGTTAAATAAAGCAGTCAACTGTATCTGTGCAGCTGTGTTTCTGGACTCTACTCTGTTTTATTTGTTAGTTTATCTATCATTGCTCCAGACCATACTCTGTATTAACTAGTACTTTTTAATACATGTTGTTACCATCATGCAGTTTTATTCTTCCTTAAGTTTGCTTTGTCTTTCTAAATTACTTTCATTTCTATATGAATTGTTACAACTTCTTCTACTTACACACACAAACATTTATAGACTCATGTACAGAGATTTGCTGGTGTTTTGGCTGGAATTAGTTTGAACTTTTAGCTTAGTTTTGAGGGAATTAATGTCCTTACAATATTGAATCTTCCAATGCATGTTCATGGCATATTCCTCCATTTATGTAGATCTTCAATATTTCTTAATAATATTTTATAGTTTTCAGTATATTTTTTGCACTTTTTTTGGTTAAATTACCTCTTATGTGCAGTCTTATGCCACTTTCTTTTGATTCCCCTCTTACTTGTGCTCTGATCTGCTAACTGTCTGAGAAGTTCTCAATATTTTCCTGCTTAGAGTGGGCTCTCCTTTTCTGGGGATGATTTTATGTGTATTATTCTATGCTCGACCCCTCCTCTCTTGTTTTCTGTGAAGTCTCTGACCTTCTCTGAATTACCTTGGCTTCTGAAGCTGACTCCACTTATTAGATGTTAACTACCATACTTAGATGTAAGTTGAAGTCTGTAGTATTATCTTTATCCTAGATACTCTGTAGTTATGTGTTGTGGGTGGTTTTATTTGCTCTGTCTTTTTGATCTGTAGAGTGTTTTGGAGGAAGTATGGAAATACAGATGTTTGCATTCACTATTGCCCTATTGAAAACCAGTGTCTCTGTTCCATTTCTTCTCTCTTTGCAAACTTCCAATACTTCCTCTAACCTCTTTTCTCTCAAACAGTAATCCTTAATGTTTCATCATTAACAAAATATAATTCATCAGAAGAGAATTACTACATATTTCTCCACCAGTCTTCTCATTAGTACTGACATATTCTCATTTCCTTCCCGTTACAAAGGATGAACAGTTCTTGCTTCTAAGAGCAAACCGTACAGTTATGCATTTCACCCACTTTCTAGTCAATTAGTTTGCAAAATCTCTTAGCTAATGCTTCTTTTCTTGTCTTCAGTATCATTTTCTTTTATTTATTGGAAATTAACTTTTAGAATACAAACATGCTTCTCTTTTATAGATAAACAACAAAAAAGAAACAAAACCAGAAAAACTCTTTTGTTCTCACTTTCCTCTCCACTTACAGCCTCTTTATCTTTATTGCTAAACTATGAATATTGTTTTGTCCTATTTCTTCTCTCATTTTATCTTAAACTCACTCTGCGTAAGATTTTTATTTTCATCACACCTCCAAAGTTGCTTTCTTCACAGCCTCAACTGCCATCCACTTGCAAAATCCAATGGGTATTGTTTCAGTACTCATCTCACCCAACCCATCAGCAGGATTCAGCACAGCTGGTCACTTCCCACTTCTTGAAGCAAGTTCAGTTGCTCTTTAGAACCACTGTCTCTCGGTTCTCCCTCTACTTCAATGCATGCACCATCCGAATCATTATTTTCTTTTTCCTTCTTATCTTTTAAAATTCTAAGTAATGGAATGTCATAGGGCTCAGTGCTTTGGCCCCTCTTTTATTTTATATCAACATTTATTGCTTAGTTTCTCATCTACTCCCATGGTTTCAAATGACGTATAAATGCTACAACTCTCAGAGTTATAGACTCATGAAGCCTAGACTCACATAAACAATTATCTTCTGACATCTACCCATGGAGATTTAATAAGCATTTCAAACTTAAGATGTCCAAGATAAATTTTTCTTCTGCCCCAGATCCTACTGTAGTCTTCCTTGATTTAGAAAGTAGCGACTCCAGTCTACTTGGTGGTGCTCAGGTCAAAACTCTGGAGGCATTACTGACTCCTGCATTCAATCCATCAGGAACTTCTATTTGTTCTACCTTTGAAATATATCCATATTTACTACTTCCACTACTACCACACTATTCCAAACAACGGTTATTTTGCTTTGAAATTATTGCAGTAGCCTCTAACTGACCTGCCTTCTTCACTTTTGCTTCCTACAATCTATTATCCTCACAGTAGCCTGATTGATATTTTAATATAAAAGTTATATTATGTAACTCCTCAGTTCAAGATCCTGTAAAGGCTTTTCATTCCATTTATTATAAACTTCAAGACCATACCATGGTCTACCCATTTTGGCTCCTGCTGTCTCTCTGAGTTCATCTTCTACCTCATTTCCCCTTGGTCACTGAACTCCAGTCACACTGGCCTTCATTCTGCCCTTCAGTCACACCAGGCATACTTGGCTTCAGAACCTTTGCATTTTATATTCTCTTGGTTTATCATGTTTTTCTAGAGACATCATCATGAATCATAACTTCACTTCATTATGGTCCCTGATCTAATGTCTCATCAGAGAGGTCAAAGAGGCCTTCCTTGACCATCTACATCTACCTAATTAACACTCCTCACAACTCTATGTTTTTACATGCGCAGAATTTATTACCACTTGGTTTGTGTGTGTGCGAGTGCTGTGTGTGTCTGGGTATCTATGTGTGTGTGTATAAGCAAGAACAGTGCTGTCAAAGAGTAAGAACTTAGTAAATATTAGTTGGATGAAAAAAATTGCTTCATTAAATGCATATATTTTCATTAAATTTTAAAATGTTGTAATTCAAAAATACACATTTGCCAATCTATGTGGTGTTTTATAAGCTAGATTCATTTTTATTTGGGCTGGACTGAGTAGAACCACTAAGATCCAATAGAAACTGCATTTGTTTCCTCATAACACTGTTCATCTCTTATCCAGATGCCACATTAGGTTAATATGAAAACCTGGGTCTGTACTGAGAAAGCTAATCTTACTACTTAAATAAGAATACCTAGGAGCATTGAGCTCACTCCAGTAGTAATGACAAGATTTTCAAAACAGCAGTTTGCTCTGAGAAAATAAAATTTATACTAGGAGACTGTTAATTTTGAATTTAAGATAACAAGTGGAGTCAGATTCTTCTTAATAACTATTGTTTAGTTTTGAATATTACAGAGATCCTATGCTTTGGAAATATATTTAATTTTTTGCCTTCCTTTTCAATAAAATATTGTAGTTCATTTTTACTTTAACTTCATTTTCTGTAGCTGTTTTTTTTTATTTCCTTAATTTGAATTTCTTTTTGATCATCCTACATTACGGTTGTTGTCCTAGTAAATATAGATGAGAATTGTTATATATTTTGCAGGAATGCTGATAGTAAGTCAGGCTGATTGCAGTCTGAGTCATATAAGTGAAAATTCTGCACAAATCAAAATGTGCTATATCAGTATTGTTAAGCTTGTTATGATGACAAATATTATTGTTATTATGGATATGAATTTTACTCAATAAATTCAAGAGTGCAAGAAATAATATTTCATATTTAAAAATCAATTTACACTTAACTCAGAGGTCCCATCTTGCTTAGCTAGCTGAAAATTCAATTTTGTCATTGTTATTCAACCCGTTCCCTTACCCAGACTTGTGCAAAAGTTCTCAGATCTTCTACAGCATCAGCACATTGAGCTGCGCCCTCTGGTCAAGGGCAGTTAGCAAAAAAACTAAAGACAAAACACAAAACAAAACAAAGCAAAGCAAAACAAAACAAAACAAAACAACATTGGTTAGTGATGGAATGCTTGTCCCAGTCCGCAGACTGTTTTTTCTGTTTTGGTTGTTTTTCTGCTTCCATGCCATTCTTGGAGGAGGGTACTGTCTAGTGAGGCTGGGAGTGCAACATTCCCGTCTTGTAAAACATAAGAAAATTCCATCCCTCTGAGATTCTGGTTTTTTATATCAGTTAGGGTTCAGATTTTCTTAAGCAGAACTGGCTCTAGCCAGTTTAAGCAAAATGGGCAACTTATATGGAAATAAGTAGCTTATAGAATTTCCAGAACAGTCAGGAAAATAAATTTGGATGCTTTGCAACTAGATAAATGCTCAACCACCTCATGAGACCATTCTATAATAACAGGAAAGAATAACACTACTAGGCTATAGAAATTGGTCTTTTGTTTTACTGTTTCCTGGTGGTATAATAACGCATTAGGACACAGGCATACGTTGGTTTAATAAGGAAGTTTTCAATAGTTTATTTTGTATTTTTGAGCAGAATTGAGGCTGTCTTCCTACTGGTTTTCAGGGTACCCTCATCCACACCATCATAGGTTTCTACCTATTTGGGAGGGGAATAGAAAAATCTCTGAGAAATATAGTCATATTAGGTTTACTTAGTAATTTGCTTCAAGTCAAGCAGACTGAAACCTTTACTGTTGCCTTTAGTGATAGAAACACAATGACTATTTTATGCAGATGCTCTTTATCACTTACATGGGCAATGGCAAATAACTCCATTTCATGGTTCAGTTCATAGAGTCATCTGAGGGAGCATTTTGCAGCTAGTGTGATCTTGGTTGGTCAATCAGCATAAAGTCTGCGCAAGAACAAATGTGCTGTAGTAGCCATGCTAAGGCCTTTTAAGGGTTGAAGCCACTGATTTGTAGCTACTATCTTCAGGAATTCCCAGACAAAAATGTTTTTCTCTATGGGAAACTGTGGCCTTCATGATGCACATTTTCATATTCTTTAGGCAGACCTAAAGCTGCTTCCTTGGGAAGTCTTGGCCTTATCTTCTGGTAATACTATAGTTTTCAGCCAATGAAGGTAAACTGGAAAGATTTTTCTTTAGCCAGTTAATTTTTTATGAGAAAATACCAGCTTTTGCTACTGAGTACTTATCAGTATAATTTAAATCTCTTTTTAAATACACAAAGTATTTATGTTTCAGACATTTGTCATTCAGCTATAATTATGGTTATTTTATTTAGTTTTCTTGGTATTTCTTTTTCTGCATAACATTTTAAACAAATTTGAATTAGCCACTAAAACTTAAGCATTGACACATTTTATCTAGACTTGAGTTTTCTCTTGAAAAATGGAAGCTTTGGCAACAGCACTGAAGCCACACTGAAACATTGAAAATAGAAGGCAGGAACTGAGTAGCTGCTGAACAGCTTCTCTGCTTAGATGTAGTTCTGGTCCAGGCCTCCCACCTTCTCATCATATTCCTCCCAGCCCACTTCACTCTGGTCTCCTAAGCAGTTACCTGCCTGGTCTCCTAAGCAGTTGAGTTTGCAACCTTTGGTCTTGGAATGTATTCCCTTTAATCCGGAATTTTGAGGAATTTTTCAATGTTTGTGATTTTTTTTAACCTTGTATGTCAAAATGTTCAATCTGTATTTTTTTTGAGGTGGAGAAGATTCATAGCTTTTATTAAACTATCAAAAAAGCTTAAAAACTATCCTTTTGGGTGAGTCTCTATTCTAAATCTTTATTCCCCCCAAATGTTAATAGTCTATGTATGTGTTTTAATGTACTGTAAATGTTTTGAAATTAGGTATACTATAAATAATGTAATAGAAATAATGTTAATAATTAATAACGAATAAAAGAATACTGTCTAGCAGCTAGCTTGATCTTAAAGCATATTCCAGTCTTGTTCTGCTTCTGTAAGTTACAGAGGTCTTGGATTGCTCTAGGACAGTGGTAAAGAATTGCAGAACCTGAAGTTTAGCAATATCAGATTGTGCTCACAGTAACTTGGGGGCATGTTTACCTAAGTAAGTGTCACCATAACAAATTGTCATAGAATTGATTGCTGAAGAGAGAAACATACTCTCATGGAGGGGCCTATCTGCAGCTGACCAGCCAGGAATAAAGCACAGACTTAAGAATAGAGATTTGGAGTGTATAACAATGAATACACCTTTCACAGAACACCTGGTGGGAAAACCCTATAGGAAATCAAAGTCTGGTGAAGAATGCCACCACCCATTGTCTGGCAGCACTTGTGATTTGTCTTTCTCAGGTATTCCATTATCTTCATCAGTTTTCCTTTTCAGAACACTTTAGTGGGCCATAAGGATTCTTCATTTAGAATTTCTAAGAAGGAAATAAATTAGAGCATTTTAAATTAACTGCTTATATAATGATATACAGAACCTTGAAAATATTTTCAGAAAAGAGCATTGGTATATCTAGAGAAAAAAACACTGAGTTGTATGTGCTCTCTGCCCTATGGGTATATTAGAAGCATTAGAATCACTTATGTTTTCACATGAATGAACACTTGGGGTCTATGGTAAATGCTCTGGAATTCTGCCCAACTCCTGCTATGACTGTAGCCCTGATACACCACCATGACAGCTTTTAGTATTGTGCTTATGGGTTGGAAATCTATACAGTTGTACAAAGAAAGAATGATCTGGTAAGATGCTCTGTGGTTTATTTCTGATTTAAAAAAAAAGCTACCTTAGAAAAAAAGAATTTTGGTAAATTTCTTCAAAGGAAAGAGCAGGAATAAGAAAAAGGATGACGTTGTTTTTCCATAAATCATCATGCAAGTTTGATAGTTTTTATTTTGTAGTTTTGTTGAATGCTGTTTTATTTTTGTGAGGCAATGTTATAAATACAGTGATAACTGGGGCAGTAATAAGCATCTGTAAATGGTGTTTCTTCAGTGATGGTTTATACCTGAAGGTGTCATTCTGCTTCAAATTATCCGCACCCTGTGAACAGACTTGGCTCGGGGAAGGAGGGAATGGTTAAGCGCGCCATAAGCAGAGGGTTTTGCTGTTCAGCGTGGATGAAGAGCAGTTGGGCAGGGTAGTGAGGCAAGCATCTGGGGTGAACAGAGGGCTGCTACAGGTTGAGGTGGGGGCAAATGGGGCTCCCAGCAGGGGAGCCGGCACAGTGCCTGGCTCTGACTTTGTGTGGAGTTGGACAGAAGGCTTAGCGGATGCATTCCTTCCCATCTCCTCTGTCACTGCTGCTTCCTTACCTGGCCCTGTGCCTGGTACCAGGGAGCAGGAGGAAAAGCCCTTTTCCTCATCTATGAAAGCAGCTGAGCACCTGCTCTCAAACTCCAGATCAATACTAGGGTATAATGCAACGTTCTGGACTAGGTTCAATATTACTAGTGACAGCTCTCACATTTAGATAAACATAAACTTTTTCTTGTCATCTTGAAAAATATCTGTTATAGAATTCAATAAGGATTCATGTAAGGTGGTCTTCTTTTAGTCCATTTTATAATAAGCAGGATATGAATGTGCATATATAATGTAAAAAGGAGGCATAGGGCATAGAAAGAAACTAAACTAGAAACTATATTTGCTTTTCAGTCTTACTTAGCTACTAAGTTACTAAACTATTAGGCCTTTTTGATCATTAATGTGCACACAAATCCCCTGCGGATATTATGAAAATACAGATTCTGATTCAGGAGTTCTGGGGTGGGGCCTGAAATTCTGTATCTCTAATAAGCTCCTGTTTGATGCTTCTGTCCATGGTCCCCAGACCACATTTAGAGTTAGCAAGGCTCTCTATGACCTATGTGAAACACTTGACTGATCTCTGTTACTTCCCACTTCACTTCCTTCAGGTTTCATGTCAAATGTCACCTTCTCCCTTTGGGCTTGACTATGTTAGCTAAAATGGCAATTCCCACTGTCCCTCTGTCCCCTTAACTGGCCTCATTTTCTTCATTGCATTTACACCGTAAATTCTAACTTAAATACTTATGTATCTGTAGTTTGTTTCTTCCTAGTAGAATGTAGGCTCCATTAGAAAAATGGGTTTATTTACCTATTCATTTTGTTTTAGTATTGTACCCTCAGTATATAGGGGAGTATGTGGCATATAGAGGAGAATAGCATTGAATGAATGAATGGATGGATGGGTGGATGGATGAATATATGAATTTTCTTCGCCTTCATGGAATGTGTGACACTTTCTCTGGAGGCAAGGGTCTTTTGAGAGACTGAAAAATCCTAGCTTCAGACTGAGTATGGGCAAGAGCAGTGTGGGTAATATCTAGATTCAACTTGTCACAGACTTGGATGTAAGCTAAAGGGAGTTTGGAACTTTTTAACTGGTCTGGCTCTTGGTATTTTGCAATTTCCATATCTTTTCAATAAAAATAACCAGAGTACAATCTTGCCCAGAGAAATGAGGCATTCTTAATTTTTCTAGGCTTTGAAAGATATCGTTACTCAGGATTACATGGGTAATTAAAGCTACTTCAGGGATCCTTCTTCCAAATTATTTCGGCTATTACCAGACATAGGAAACCCTTCTGTCTCTTCCTGCTTATATTTATCTTGTCTCAACACAGAATACATATTGTGGGGACAAATTGAGTTTCAGGTCTAAATGAGGAAAGCACCTGAGGACACACTCATAATTGCAGCTCTCAGGAGTGGAAGCCATAGGAAGCAGAGGTCAATTCCAATTGTAAGGTGTGACTTGTAAAACACCAGAACAGGCAATACAATTGTAATAGCAAATCAAGAAAGTATTGTTTTATTCTGGGTAGAAAGGAGGCAGAGGGCGCTATGGGAGTCTCTTCTGCTACATCACATTGAACAATAGTAACTTTCCTCAAAATAGTCATCTTTACATTTTATTTATGTATAAAATAATTTATGTGAATAAAATATTAAAATAAGATTTTCATTTTTCAGGGCTAAACCTCATATTTTAAAGCAACTCCTCAATAAGTGTTCTGTCTTCTATGTGTATCATAGAGCAGAAGGCCGTATATGCACAAAAGCCATAGATCACTAAGAGACTGTTTCCCTAACCGAGGCTTCCTGCAATATTCTAACCCCAAATTTAAAACAAATTACTTCAATTAAGTTAACTAAGTTGCAGACTGTTAAGAAAGGAAAAATGTGATTTGAATTGGTCTTTGTTCTTATGCCTTGTCAATGGTAAAAAAGAGAATAATTTTGATTCAGCTAAAAACTGATTTAGGTAAATTAGTAAAACAATACTTTGAGCCAAAAGCTTTGTTTTCTCTCTTTAATTTTATAAACTACCTGCTAATTTTCTCACTTGTGGTGAAGCAAATCATAAGATTTGTGGATGATTGTTTCTATAACAGAAGACCCTAAACCATTTCTGACAAGAAGCTCTCCCTCATTTCCAATTATTTCAGGAACACTGCAGGGAAGTAAAAAGAGCATCACAATGAGATAGCATGCTGACGATAGGACTGCTGGGGAGGGAGGACTTTCTCTCTGTTGAGAATCTCTTTAAACCACAAGGTCTGGAGAGCTCTACCAGGCGACACTTCTGGATTTACTTGCTGTAGGAGCCTAGTCTACCTGCCAGATTGAAAAATTCCCATACATAGAGCTTTGTTGCCTACAAATCCGAGTTAGAGATGACATAGTACTGACATTTTCTTTGGATATGCATTTGCTGAGAAATAGAGGAACAGATATTGGATTCTCATAAAATGACCACCAACCACAGTCATTTTTCACATTTGTGAAACATGTAATTAATGGGAGAAATTAAATATGTCAAAAATAATAAAATGATTAATAAATTAATAAGATCTTCCCACTGTGAAAGCCATCAGCATTATAGATTTGTGTGAGGTGAGTCCCCTTCAGTGAATGAGGTGTAAAATTAAGGCCAAGGCATGGTCAATGAAGAAGAAAGTGATGTTGCCTACATACATACATATAGACATGCCAAAGCATTTTTCATGACTAATAATGGCAACTTTTTTTTTTCTGTTTGATTTTGTTTACAGAAAACTATTTTCTTAGATTCAAAGTATTATTATAAGAACATAGCTGTTGGGCTTTACCAGGGGTTACACCTTTCACCATACAATAAGTATTGCAGAAAATAAAATTAAGAACTTACAAAAATATTTAAGGCTCATTTATCTATCTTTCTAGCTCACCTCATGCAGTTAATGAGACTTGACAAGAATGTTGATTTCCTTGAGATATTTGGTTAATAAAGCTTTCCTTCAGTAGTGGTGGTTATATAATCATGTGCAGTAGGCATAAATCTTTCTGTGCATACCAGGAATAAATAACTTTTGGAATTTTAAAGGTATGGTGCTAGGTCATTGGGTCACAAAGAAGGAATTCTACTGGTGAAACAAATAATTTCACAATATTGGAATAACTATTAGCTAATGAATAACCGCTAGTCAGCAATAGTGCAAAATATTATTGTGTAATTTAGTTTTTGCCATTAACTGAAATGACTATGCTATTTCATTTTGTTTTTTAATATTAACTTTTATTTTAGATACAGAGGGTGCATGTGCAGGTTTATTACAGGTGACATATTGCGTGATGCTGAGATTTGGGGTATGGACCTCATCACCCAGGTAGTGAGCATAGTACCCAAGAAGTAGTTTTTCCACCCACAACCCTCTCCTTCTCTCCCTCCTCTGCTAGCCTGCAGTGTCTGTTATTCCCATATTTTTGTCCATGTGTGCTCACTGTTTGGTTCAGGATGTGAGTAGCCTGTTCCCAACAATAGTGCCCTCTCAGAGCAGAACAAAGATGGTTAAATATTTGTCAATGTAGCAACAATGTTACTGGATTAATATGCCATCTTGCACTGAATATACAAAAAGCATGGCCAATATTTGGGTATACAGAATGGTAAAATGAATAAAAATTCCCTTTTAATCAAAAGGGAAGACACCCTGGTAGACTCTTTTTATTAAATGGTCAAAAAGCAAATGTCATATCTGCCTATTGTTCAGTCACTTTCCAGTCAGGGTTCTTAAGTGATTCCATAGTGTCATGAAATGCATGTTGAGTGAGGTCCTTTCCACTCTGCTGTGGCCTCTCCTCTCGAACTGACATTAAACAGTGCACATCACTGTCACTGTCACAGCATGAGCTGCATATTTTGGGCAAAACTGATTTCACACGGATGTCAGATACTACAGCCAGTGCTACATGTTCAGAATTTAGAGCTCCTATTTTAGAAATAATATTTTTCACTTGCTTGTATTGTTTTTTTAAGTTTTGATATTAAACCGTCTTCAGTGGGCCCTATAATTGACCCGTGGAGAAGTTTAATATAAATATTTGTATTTATAGCAAATGAACTAATGACGGCGTGGCTGAGAAATAGGCATTATTTTAACATCTTCATTTATACACTGTGTGTGTTTACATGCATACATATGTATACATATGCATATATATGTTTGACCTCCATTTTCTACATAAGCATCTTTTGTTCTTTCTTATAGAGCAAATACCACTTTTATGCTATTATCTTGTACACAGACTAGAAAAATATCAGATACCTATGGGATACATAATCAGCTGTATATAATCAGTTAGATTCATTGAGGATAATTTTTTAACATCTATCTGTTAATGTTCTGCCCCACAAGTAATAGGACTCAGAAATTTTTGTGAATACGTTGACTGGATTTTTCTGCCAGGTCTGATATTTTAGCACACAAATCAGTCTTAGAAGTAAGAAAAAATATACCATTGTTAACATTAACTAGCAGTATGTGACCTTGGAAAAATCATTTGAATTCTTTGAGCTTTCTTTTTTCCATGTTTATGAAATGTTAGCTTTGGAAAAGTTGAAGGTAATATTTTGAAAAATAAGCATTAACTATGATTTAGACCAATTATGAAACAAATTAATGGAAGAAAAAGGTTAACTGGGGTTTCTGACTTTTTATTTAGATTCAGAATAGAATTTTATTCTGGGTAGAATTTCCTTCTATGAAGAAAATGACTAAATGAGAGATATTTCTTTCCGCCACCCAAGCTGCCCTGAAAAGGATGGACTAACAGAGGATGTTACAAACAAAAATGGGTTGTAATCCAGGAGAAGCCATGCTGGAGTGGTGAGTTTGTTGATGCATGATATCTTGAAACATAAGTGGTGGGTACCAGAGGGAACTGTGGACAAATAGTGGTTATCAGTGATGTCCAGCTTGGTGTGTCAGTGATAGAAAGATGCTCCACAAGGCATATGAAACAGTTTCTAAGATGAGGCCATGTTCTGTAATGTAGACAGGTTGACACATCACGAATATCAGGAAAGTTACTCAGTAGGCATTAGGGATGAACATGTGGCAATATTCTAGACCGTGGTGGCAGAAATGTATCAGACAGAATTGCAGACTTGGAGCTGGTACAACCTAGGCAGATTATGAAGGTTGCAACTGAGGAAGGGAAAAATAAAATCCTCTTCACAATTCTGGGAACTTCTTTGTGACACAGATTAGTCCATGAATGTTATCTTTGGATCCCTGGCTCCTACTCCAGTGCCTGACACACAATAAATGCCTAACAAACACTTGTCATTAAAATAAACATCAAGTTATGGATTAAGATGAGTGGTGTGAATTTTATCTTGGTAAATAAGAGTTGTAGAGGTAGGCCAGTTTTTGTATTTTCATTTTTTTGTTTGATTTACAAAAGCATTCAAATGAAAAAAATGTGTATTTTAATATAAAAATAAGTATGAATATTATTTATTAGATAGGAAAATAATAAAACTTTAAATACTTTGTTTATGACTTGTATTACCTAAGAGGAAGTTTTATATTGCATTTATAGCAATTTGTGAGCTTGTTGCAATTAAGTGCTGGTTTTGATGCTTGGCACAATGTAACTACATAATAAATGTTGATAAAATAAAATGCAATTTATAATATGCTTTTTTGTAAACATCAATTTAATTTATAAGTATGTGAAATAATTATATTAATGGAATCATTGTGGAAGAGATGGGACACATATTAACAATGTCTGAAAAAAATACACTATTACATTAATTATAGGGTTAATAACATACTTTGAAAATCATTTTGTATTTTGTTCATTTCATCAATTTTAGGCAAAGCTTAGATGTTTATGGTTTCTTTTAAGAAAGTACGCAACTTTTTATAGTGTAATTTTTGTAAGTGGTACTCATAAGTTTTGGTCAAACATAACAGACTTTAAGTAAAATTATATCCTAAAAAAATGGGGTATAAAACAAATTTTTATGTTAAATTTGGCCTCTGAATATAATAATATTTATAGATAACATGAAACAATACACTAAGAATGGAAAATTTAAGGATAAAAGTACTTTCTAATAGAATATAGATAATAATGGCACAAAGTTCAAATATTCTATTGACATTAGAATACTATAGATGAAGTTTGTACTCCTTTGGGACTGAGTCCTTGGAAGAAAGATATGTAATCTATGTATAGCCTGATTCTATTTTGTGTCTCTTTTATTCACAGCACTTGAAACTTTTTGCCCTTTCTTCTAATTGGGTTTGTTTATCCGGTATGATATATTTTCATGGTTTACTTAGTAGCTCTTATGTAGCCTGGTAGAGGTTTTTGATTTGTTTGTTTAGCATACTTTTGGGAAGAGAAGAGCAGCTATATTCCAACACAGAACACAGGTACCATTAAAAGGATAGTTACTACAATATATTTTTTTCTTAAAATAAGGGTTTTCTTTTAGTAATTTTGCTTTTTAAAAAGCATAACTATAAACTAGAAGGATAAGGACATTTTTGTCTACAGGTTTCTATTTTTAATGTTGTCTAATATGAATTATGCATACTAGGCACACGGATTAGAAATTTTGCTCTTCTGCCTATTCTGATATTTGCAGCATGGTTACATTAATCCCTTTAGTGCATAGATACCAAAATCAACTGGCTAATTAATATTTCTGATTACTTCATGCAATATAACAAAGCAATATACTAGGCATGGGAGAAGTAGTACAAGACAATACTCTCTGAATTAAAGATATTGATAAAACCCAAAGACGTTTGCATGGGTCTATTTGGCTGTGGTTAACTCATTTTCATGTTATTTCTTTTTCACATATCCTTTTCATTTCCATTTTCTCCTTAAGTATAATTTTCTAATCTGTAAAAGTTTGAGTTTAATATAGAGTTCTAGTTTCTAGCTAGAACATTCTGCAATTCCATATATCTGAGATTTCAATGCTTTTTCTCTTCACTGACTTAAATTTTTAAATCATTATTATTATTATTTTACTGAGGGCTTTGCCATTCTCTATTATTTATGCTACCCCAGGTTGTTTCTTCCCCAAGAAAGCAGAGGTGATATTGACCCCTTCAAGGTAACCAGGCTCAATCTTGTTCAACTTGTCACTCAACAAACACATACCAAATAACTACTGATTTAAAGCTTTGTACTCTATCCAGGATAGGGTATGAAGGAGCGAGAGTTTATACTGCCATTCCAGTCCTGTGAATTCCATCCTTTTAAAGATGAGAATCCCTTTACTTTAAGTTTATGTGAGTCCTTATGTGTTAGGTGAGGCTCCTGAAGGCAGCAGATAGTTGGTTGGTGAGTTTTTACCCATTCTGCAGTTTTAAGTGGAGCATTTAGGCTATTTATATTCAATATTAGTGTTGAGATGTGAGGTACCATTGCATTCATCATGCTATTTGTTGCATGTGTACCTTGTTTTGTTTTTGCTTTTTACCTTGTATTTTTGTTTCATAGGTCCTGTGTAATTTATACTTTAAAGTGGTTCTGTTTTTATGTGTTTCCAGGATTTATTTCAAAATTTAGAGCTCCTTTTAGCAGTTCTTGTAGTGGTGGCTTGGTAGGAAAAAGGCATTTCATGCAAATGGACACCAAAGGTAGCTATTCTTATATCAGACAAAACAAACTTTAAAGCAACAACTGTTAAAAGAGACAAAGAGGGACATTATATAATGGTAAAAGGCCTTGTCTAACAGGAAAATGTCACAGACCTAAACGTATATGCACCTAACACTGGAGCTCCCAAATTTATAAAACAATTACTAACAGACCTAAGAAATGAGATAGACAGCAACACAATAATAATGGGGGACTTCAGTACTCCGTTGAAAGCACTAGACAGGTAATCAAGACAGAAAGTCAACAAAGAAACAATGGATTTAAACTATACCTTGGAACAAATGGACTTAACTGATATATACAGAACATTTCATCCACCAACCCCAGAAAACATATTCTATTCAACAGTGCCTGGAACTTTCTCCAAGACGGACCATATGATAGGCCACAAAATGAGCCTCAATACATTTAAGAAAATTGAAATTATATCAACCACTCTCTCAGACCACAGTGGAAGAAAACTGGAAATCAACTCCAAAAGGAACCTTCAAAACCATGCAAATACATGGAAATTAAATAACCTGCTCCTCTATGAGCATTGGGTCAAAAACAAAATCAAGATGGAAATTAAAAAATTCTTCGAACTGAACAACAATAATGACACAACCTATCAGAACTTCGGGGATACAGCAAAGGCGGTACTGAGGAGAAAGTTCATAGCCCTAAATGCCTACATCAGAAAGACTGAAAGAGAAAAAAACTGACATTCTAAGGTCACAACTCAAGGAACTAGTGAAACAAGAATAAACCAAACCCAAATTCAAACCCAGCAGAAGAAAAGAAATAAACAAGATGAGAGCAGAACTAAACGAAATTAAAACAAAAAAAAAAATGCAAAAGATAAGTGAAACAAAAAGCTGTTTCTTTGAAAAGATAAATAAAATTGATAGACCACTGGCAAGATTAACCAAGAAAAGAAGAGAGAAAATCCAAATAACCTCATTAAGAAACAAAGCAGAAGATATTACAACTGACACCACTGAAATACAAAAGATCATTCGAGGCTACTATGAACACCTTTATGCACATAAACTAGAAAAACTAGAAGAGATGGATAGATTCCTGAAAAAATACAAACCTCCTAGCTTAAATTAGGAAGAATTAGATACCCTGAACAGACCAATAACAAGCAATGAGATTGAAATGGTAAATCAAAAATTACCAGCAAAAAAAAAAAAAGTCCAGGACCAGAAGGTGGCACAGCAGAATTCTACCAGACATTCAAAGAACAATTGGTACCAATCCTTTTGACATTATTCCACAGGATAGAGAAAGAAGGAACCCTCTCTAATTCATTCTATGAAGCCAGGATCTCCCTATTACCAAAATCAGGAAAGTTTTGATATTAACCAAAAAAAAAAAAAAATACAGACAGAAATCCTTGATGAACATAGATGCCAAAATCCTTAACAAAATACTAGCTAATTGAATACAACAACATATTGAAAAGATAATTGACCATGATCAAGTGGGTTTTATACCAAGGATGCAGGGATGATTTAACATTTGCAAGTCAATAAATATGATACATTACATAAACAGAATTAAAAGCAAAAACCACATGATCATCTTAATAGATGCAGGAAAAACATTAGACAAAAATCCAGGATCCCTTTATGATTAAAACTCTCAGCAAAATAGGCGTACAAAAGACATACCTCAATGTAATAAAAGCCATCTATGACAAACCCACAGCCAACATAATACTGAATGGGGAAAAGTTGAAAGCATTCCCTCTGAGAACTAGAACAAGACAAGGATGCCCACTCTCACCACTCCTCTTCAGCAGAGTACTGGAAGTCCTAGCCAGAGCAATCAGACAAGAGAAAGAAATAATGGCATTCAAATTGGTAAAGCGGAAGTCAAACTGTCACTGTTTGCTGACGATATGGTCATTTACCTTGAAAACCCTAAAGACTCCTCCAGTAAGCTCCTAGAACTAATAAAAGAATTCAGCAAAGTTTCTGGATACAAGATTAATGTACACAAATCAGTAGCTCTTCTATACACCAACGGCGACCAAGTGGGGAAGCAAATGAAGAACTCAACCACTTTTACAATACCTGCAAAAAAATTAAAATAATTCGGAATATACCTAACCAAGGAGGCTAAAGACCTTTACAAAGAAAACTACAAAACACTGCTGAAAGAAATCGTAGATGACACAAACAAATGGAAACACATCCCATGCCCATGGGTGGATAGAATCAATACTGTGAAAATGACCATACTGCCAAAAGCAATCTACAAATTCAATGCAATTCCAATCAAAATACCAGCATCATTATTTACAGAATTAGAAAAAAACAATTCTAAAATTCATATGGAACCAAAAAAGAGCCCGCATAGCCAAAGCAAGACTAAGCAAAAATAACAAATCTGGAGGCATCACACTACCTGATTTCAAACTATACTATAAGGCCATAGTCACCAAAACAGCATGGTACTTGTACAAAAATAGGCACATAGACCAGTGGAAATGAATAGAGAACCCAGAAATAAACCCAAATACTTACAGTCAACTGATTTTTGACAAAGTAAACAAAAACATAAAGTGGGGAAATGACACCCTTTTCAACAAATGATGCTGGGATAATTGGCTAGCCACATGTAGGAGAATGAAACTAGATCCTCATCTCTCACCTTACACAAAAATATACTCAAGATTGATTAAGGGTTTAAATCTAAGACCTGAAACTATAAAAATTCTGGAAAAGAACATTGGAAAAACCCTTCTAGAAACTGGCTTAGGCAAGGATTTCATGACCAAGAACCCAAAAGCAAACACAATAAAAACAAAGATAAATAGTTGGGACCTAATTATACTAAAGAGCTTTTGGACGGCCAAAGGAACTGTCAGTAGAGTAAATAGACAACCCAATCTATATGCCTGACAAAGGACTAATATCCAGAATCTGCAACAAACTCAAATCAGTAAGAAAAAAAAACCACACACAATCCCATCAAAAAGTGGACTAAGGACATGGATAGACAGTTCTCAAAAGAAGATATAAAAATGGCCAAAAACATATGAAAAAATGTTCAACATCACTAATGATCAGGAAAATGCAAATCAAAACTACAATGCGATACCACCTTACTCCTACAAGAATGGCCATAATCAAAAAATCAAAAACGGTAGATGTTGGTGTGGATGTGGTGATCAGGGAACACTTCCACGCTGCTGATGGGAATGTAAACTAGTCCAGCCACTGTGGAAAACAGCGTGGAAATTCCTTAAAAAGCTAAAAGTGGAACTACTATTTGATCCAGCAATCCCACTACTGGGTATCTATCCAGAGGAAAAGAAGTCATACGAAAATGATACTTGTGCACAAATGTTTACAGCTGCACAATTTGCAATTGCAAAATTGTGGAACCAACCCAAATGCCCATCAATCAAGGAGAGGATAAAGAAACTGTGGTATACATATATATGATGGAATACTATTCAGCTGTAAAAAGGAATGAATTAATGGCATTTGCAGTGACCTGGATAAGATTGGAGACTACTATTCTAAGTGAAGTAATACAGGAATGGAAAAGCAAACATCATATGTTCTCACTGATATGTGGGAGCTAAGCTGTGAGGATGCAAAGGCATAAGAATGATACAATGGACTTTGGGGACTTGGGGGAAAGGGTGGGAGGGAGGCAAGGGATAAAAGACCACAAATAGGGTGCAGTGTATACTGCTCGAGTGATGGATGCATCAAAATCTCACAAATCATCACTAAAGAACTTACTCATGTAACCAAATACCACCTGTACCCCAATAACTTAGGGAAAAATAAAAAATAAAAATAAAAATAAATAAATAAAAATGAGAATCCTTCTTTTTCCCCTTTAAAAGCAACCCAGTGTTAGTTGAGTACATGACACATGCCAGATACATGCATTATCTCCATGCTAAGTGCTTAATATGCATTTTTTTCCTGCTGTTTTTGACCTATAGCCCCTTCCTCATCCCTGCCCATGATATGTCCTCTTCTTATAAAATTCTGATAAAATACATATAAAATTTGCCATTTTAGCCATTTCAGTGTACTACATTCAGTGGAATTACATTCTCATTGTTGTAAAAACATCACCACTCTCTACCAATATTTTTCATTAACTCAAACAGAAACTCTGTACTCACTAACCAGTTACTCCTCATTCTTTCCTCCACGAAGTTCCTGTGAAGCTCTAATTTGCTTCTGTCTCTGTACATTTGCCTATTTTATACAGTTCAGATAAGCGGAACCATATATTTCTCCCTCTGTATTTGGCTTATTTCATTTAGCATAAGGTTTTTAAGGTTTTCCTTGTTTGTAGCACATATCAGAACTTTATTTCTTTTTATGTCTGAATAATTTTTCATTGCATGCATCCACCACATTATGTTGATTTATTCATCTGATGATGGAAAGTTGGTTTGTTTCCACTCTCTTCTAAGTTTGTCAAGATTCTAGCTTTTGTAATCATAGATCTGACTGGTGTCTTGATTTCTTATCTATTTCTAGTGTTAAATGCTAAAATTAAAACATGCTCCCTCCATGTTTCCTTTGTCTTTATTCAATTCAGAATTAGTTTTTAAATGCCCCTTTCATTCCTTAGTTTGTTTTCTCTTTCCACTAATGACTATCTTAGCATATGTGTGACTAATTTTTTCAGAAGGTGTAATTTCCTTGTGCCAGTGTGTTTACATAGGAGCCTAAATTATTACATAATAAGGACATATCAAAACCACAATTAATGTTCATTTGAGTTAAATTTCTCCTAGTGACACTGTAGTGAAAATGAGTCTGTTTTTTTTTCATTTCATTGATGTTTCATGATTTCACCCTAAAATAATAAAGGGAAATTTAAGACATTTATTTTGTTTAGTGAAACACTGGCATCAACCCTCAAACAATTATTTAATCTCATTGCTAATTTAATTTTATTATAGATATATTTTTAAATTTTTATAAGATTATTTATTGGATCTTAATACAATATACAGTTGACTCTTGAACAATTGGGGGCTAGAAGCCCCAGTCCTTGTGCAGTTGAAAATTCATGTATAATTTTTGACCTTTGAAAAATTCAACTATTAATAGCCCACTGTTGACCAGAAGCCTTACCAATAACATAAATAGTCAATTAACATGTATTTTGTATATTATATGCATTATTTGCTGTATTATTACAATAAAGTAAGGTAGAGAAAAGAAAATGTTATTAAGAAAATCATAAAAAAGAGAAAATATATATTTACTGGTTCATTAAATGGGAGTAGATTATCCCAGAGGTCCTTCAAGAAGGCTCAGGAGGCAGAGGAAGAGGAGAGGTTGGTCTTTCTGTCTTGGGGCGGCAGAAGCAGAAGAGGTGGAAGGTGAGGCTGGAGACATTTATTGGAAATTATCCGTATATAAGTGGACCCATGCAGTTCAAGCCCATGTTGTTCAAGGTCAACTGTATTTACAAAAGTCAAATTGAAGCAGAAACTACTAAAGGCTGTGCCCATGTAGAAAATTCTTCCATAGTTGTTGAACTTCATATAAACACTTTCTACCTAACTAATTTTTTTTTTTACTGGTCAGATATTAGTAAATAGGAATTAGAAAATAAGTAATCTATGTACTTTATTCTTAGGATAAAAAATAGTTTGGACCAGGTACATCAATGAATTAAATTTAACAAGAATGTTTGTGGCAATTATGATGGAGTGTAAATGTCTCTAGAATGCCACATGCTAGCTATTTTTTCATTCCCTTTAATTTACACACGAAGGCTTAAAGAGCTGTGGGCAAACTGCTTCAAAGAAAAGAATATCACTGCTGAAACAAAGCTAAAGCAAAACTATTTGAAAACTAAAGAGTATTTTAAAGACACAATAATGGAAGAATGCAGAGCTTTTATGTAACAAAATATAAGCCTTCACGAAAAGGATTTTATCTTCTTTATTGTTCATATCAAGCACACCCCATTCATTTTTTATTCAGTCCTCAATTTTTTAAGGCTGCATGGATGAGTTGGTCATGTGAGGGTTTGGATGGAAAAAAATTAAAAACAATTTTATGTTAACATAAACAGACTGAATTTAGTTTAACACTTCTCGTATTTCCATTTATTTTAGTTAATGACATGCATGGAAACGCATACAAATGGTATCTTTAACAATCTTTGGATGAATAAAATAAGGAAAAAAGGAGAGTTTATGCTACTATAAATTATAGTTGGAAATCTGATGATTGAGATTTTCCATATGTGGTAGGGAAGCCAGCACAAAGAGTTCATCCTTCAGTTCATCGTTTTGATTGTCTTCACAATCAATACCGATTTCTGTGGTTTCATTGATTTGGCCACAGTCCACATTGAGTCTCAGCTTGGAAAGACCCAACACTTAATCTCTGTCTCTAGCTGACTGCCTTGAACCAAGGAGATGCTCCCTAATTGTTGTGAGAGAAAAAAGTGAAAAAAGGCCTTAATACCCAGTATTTCCCAGAAGAAAATATGGTAAAATAGCACTTTACAGCCCAATGCCATTTGGACTAAGTATTCTTTTTACTTCTTTAGAAAAAATGCAATAAAGCACAAAACAATATAACAATACTTCAGCACTCCTCTGTCTCACATTCTGTGGATGCTCAGCAAGTATCAGACTAAAACTAGAAACATTATGTGTTTATAGGTTTAATTCAACTTTTTAATGTGCTGTTTATGATAAAATGTGTAGCGCAGGAGTTATTAATTGGGGCTCGTTGACCCCAGGAATACATGGGGGAATGGGAGTTTTTTGGTGTCTGTGAAAATTCTAACACTATACACACATTTTTGAGTGCATTTTCCTCAGGTGATATTAGTTCATAATGAACAAACAGGTCCTATTTGTTTGGAACTGTTCTAAGAGTTTTTACTCATTTGATCATCATGGCAAACTAGAATGTAAATATTCACAGTATCCTTGTATTACAGTGAAAAAAAAAAAGAGATGTATTATACAAATATTGTATGTAACTTGCCTAGGGCATCACAACCACTAAGGGGTCAAGCCAGCATTTTTTTCTTTTTGTTTTTTTGAGACGGAGTCTCGCTCTGTCACCCAGGCTGGAATGCAATGGCGCGATCTCGGCTTGCTGCAACCTCCGCGTCCCAGATTCAAGTGATTCTCCTGCTTCAGCCTCCCGAGTGGCTGGGATTACAGGCGCCTGCCACCATGCCTAATTTATTTATTTTTTTTTTAAGTAGAGATGGGGTTTCACCATGTTGGCCAGGCTGGTCTCGAATGCCTGACCTCGTGATCCACCCACATCGGCCTCCCAAAGTGCTGGGATTACAGGGGTGAGCCTCCATGCCCGGCCTTGTACTCTTAAACAGCACAAACACTGTGCTGTCTTTAGATAGGAAATAGGTTTTAGAACTTTTTTTCTCAAATTTTAGAGGAGTTTGTGACCAAAAGACAATAAATATCTACTGGAGTCAACTAGCCCACAGAAATGTAGTTTTCGCTAGATATGCTATTGCTTAAAGCGATACATCTTCCACATCTCAGAAAAATCCGATGAAGTCACCTGTGGTCACGTTATCAAGCAAAAGAGGCTTGCTGCCCCGTGCGCTAGAAGCCAATACTATGACGCTGGGTTTTTTAGAAAAGAAAACATTTTACTGCAAATTGACTCACAGGGAGACAGTAGTCCACCTCAAATCTGTCTCCCTGTGCTGGCCTTAAGGGAGTCATTTTATTAGAAAACATTTAGGAAATGGATTCTGGGATTAGTAGGTGATTGGTGGAAGGAAAGACAAGAGCTGGAAAGTCTTTGGGAATGTGCAGTTATCCATTCATGCTACCTCACGGGTCCCACGTGCAACTTCGGGGCGTTATCATGAAAAGTATGGTGGAAATGTGAAGTCCGCAAGCTCATTCTGTGCAAACTCCAATTAGCCATATTGGTTCCAATGGGTTTCAGCCAGTTTTATCATCTTACAAACCTGGGAAAAGGGAGTTTCAGCATTTCAGCAAGTTGTTTTCCTGCCTTCCTGCAAGCTCAAGAATTTCTGTTAGTCATGTTTCCTTAACTGTTAGGGGCATAGTTTCAGTCACTTGGATGTTAGGTGTTTTTCAGGTTTGCTTTTTCATATAATCTGGCCATGCAGGGTGTCATATTGCATACAGCATACAAGAAAATGGATAAAACATAAGAATCAAGATTCTGGCAAAGCAAGTAAATGAATTGATCAAAATCGAGGAGAAAGTTAAAATTTAAGTAGAGACTGTAGTGTTATGTAAAACGCAGTTATTTAAGTCGAGCTTCGGGTTCCTGGTGGCCAAAGCAAAATGTGAAACAACATTATTTACATGATTTGCACTATTTGAAAACCTATCACTCCATAAAGAGAACAATAAATTGTTTAGTTCAAAGTCAGTAGTACATCTCTTTCTATGATTATATGGTGAACGCTTTTTAAAGTAGCATATCTTTAGTAAATGTAATGGCAGTCTTATGGACTTAATTGCATTCTCCCCCAGTTCCAAATTCATATGTTGAAGTCCTAACCCCCAGTAACTCAGAATATGACTGTATTTAGAGATAGGGTCTTTAAAGTGGTAATTCAGGTAAATGAGGACATATGGGTGAGCCCTAATTCAATAGGACTGCTGTCCTTATAAAAAGAGGAGGTTAGGACACAGACCTCTGTGTGTGTGTGTGTGTGTGTGTGTGTGTGTGTGTGTGTGTGTGTGTGTGTATGTGTGTATACAAAGGAGAAACCTTATGAAAACACAAGAAGGTGATGAATTGCAGGCCAAGGACAGACGCCTCTGGAGAAAGCAAGGATATTGACACCTCGACTGTGGACTTCTAGCCTCCAGAACTATCATGAAATAAATTTCTATTGTTTAGGCCACCCAGTCTGTGGTATTTTGTTATGTTAGCCCTAGCGAACTCATATAAACAGCTTCCTTATGATACTTTACCATCATTTATGCTATGGCATCCTGATTTTACAATATCCATCATGATAGCTGAGGAAGCAGGGCAAGCTGATTGAGGACACCTCACTGCAATTCTGAGGACCCCAAAACAGTGTAATTCAAACGTAGCACCTTCTCTCTCTGGGCAGCTTTATTCAGAGATGAGATATAGGCTCTTCAGAAGTATGAATGGAGTGTGTGTGTGTGTGTGTTTGGGCTGTTCATAAAAACCTTTGGGGCAAAAGGCACATAAACTTCATGGTAAAGCATGAAATAAACTATTGTTTCTGTGTTGCTAATTAAGGATTAAAAACAGACTATTGGGCAAAAGACTTGATGACCTCTGATGATAGAGAAAAGGCCCTACCAAGAGTTGGGTCCTTCTAGTTCTTGGTCATCCTGGTTCCACACCAAGAGAAATCTTGTTCAGGAGCAAGAATTTTACTAGAGAGAATTATGGCTTAAATATGACAAGTGAAAAAAATGAATGGCATGATGTTAAAGCTGCACGTCATAGGATTGTACAGAGTATTTTCAAAGTGTACGTAGACAGAATCCCACTATAACCAAAGAAAATCTCACTAACATAGGCATATAAATGCAAATTTACCAAACAATTAAACTTAGTGGTAATTAGCTGTATAAAATGATTCACTATGAAAGTCTCATCGTAACTTATGAAAAATATAAAGAATTCAATTTTTTGTACCTTTTTTGTAACATATGTCACCAGGATTATAATTATTTGTTGAATTGGTTGTGTTCTCACTACTCAGTCACATCTCTGAGATCATGAACTCACTTAATTTCTTACTGTTTTTTTTATCAGTGAGGCTTAAGTGTGTGTTGAATGATAAAGTGAACAAAACAAATGAATAAGTAAAAAATGAACACAAAAACATTTGAATTTGTATAGCAATTGGATTATCAAACTTTGCAAACATTATGCCCTCTTTAAAATTTTTTTTATATTTCAGGTTCTGGGATACATGTGCAGAACATTCAGGTTTGTTACATAGGTATACATGTGCCATGGTGGTTTGCTGCACCCTTCAACCTGTAATCTACATTAGGTATTTCTTCTAATGCTATACTTCCCCTAGTCCCCCACTCTGAGAGGCCCCGGTGTGTGACATTCCCCTCCTTGTGTCCATGTGTTCTCATTGTTCTACTCCCACTTATGAGTGAGAACATGTGGTGTTTGGTTTTCTGTTCTTGTGTTAGTTTGCTGAGAATGATGGTTTCCAGCTTCATCCATGTCCCTGCAAAGGACATGAACTCATCCTTTTTTATGGCTGCATAGTATTCTATGATGTATATGTGCCACATTTTCTTTATCCAGTCTATCATTGATGAGTGTTTGGGTTGGTTCCAAGTCTTTGCTATTGTGAACAGTGCTGAAATAAACATAAGTGTGCATGTATCTTTGTAGTAGAATGATTTATAATCCTTTGGTTATATACTCAGTAATGGGATTGCTGGGTCAAGTGGTATTTCTGGTTCCAGATCCTTGAGGAGTTGCCACACTGTGTTCCACAATGGTTGAACTAATTCACACTCCCACCAACAGTGTAAAAGTGTTCCTATTTCTCCACATCCTCTCCAGCACCTGTTGTTTCCTGACTTTTTAATGATCGCCATTCTTTTGTTTTTGTTGTTTTTGAGACAGAGTCTCGTTCTGTCACCCAGGCTGTGCAGTGTCACAATCTCGGCTCACTGCAAGCTCAGCCGCCCGGGATCATGCCATTCTCCTGCCTCAGCCTCCCAACTAGCTGAGACTACAGGCACCCACCACCTTGGCTGGCTGATTTTTTTGCATTTTTAGTAGAGATGGGATTGCTCTGGCCAGAACTTTCAATGCTATGTTGAACAGGAGTGGAGAGAGAGGGCATTCTTTTCTTATGCCCATTTTCAAAGGGAATGCTTCCAGTTTTTGCCCATTCAGTATGATATTGGCTGTGGGTTTGTTATAAATAGCCCTTAATATTTTGAGAGACTTAGTTTATTGAGAGTTTTTAGCATGAACTGCTGTTGAATTTTGTTGAAGGCCTTTTCTGCATCTATTGAGATAATCATGTCATTTTGTCATTGGTTCTGTTTATATAATGGATAACATTTATTGCTTTGTGTATGTTTAACCATCCTTGCATCCCAGGGATGAAGCTGACTTGATTGTGGTGGATAAGCTTTTTAATTTGCTGCTGGATTTGGTTTGCCAGTATTTTATTGAGGATTTTTGCATCGATCTTCATCAGGGATATTGGCTTGAAATTTTCTTTTTTTGTTATGTCTCTGCCAGGTTTTGGTATCCAGATTATCCTGGCCACATAAAATGACTTAGGGAGGAGTCCCTCTTTTTCTATTGTTTTGAATAGTTTCAGAAGGAATGGTACCAGCTCCTCTTTGTACCTCTGGTAGAATTTGGCTATGAATCCGTCTGGTCCTGGACTTTTTTTGGTTGATAGGCTATTAATTACTGCCTCAATTTCAGAACTTGTTATTGGTCTATTCAGGGATTGGGCTTCTTCTTAGTTTAGACTTGAGAGGGTGTATGTGTCCAGGAATTTATCCACTTCTAGTTTTTCTAGTTTATTTGCATAGAGGTGTTTATAGTATTCTCTGATGGTAGTTTGTATTTCTGTGGGACCAGTGGTGATATCCCCTTTATCATCTTTTATTGTGTCTACTGATTCTTCTCTCTTTTCTTCTTTTTTAGTCTGGCTAGTGTTCTATCTATTTTTATGATCTTTTAAAAAAACTACCTCCTGAATTCATTGATTTTTTGAAGGGTTTTTCGTGTTCCTTCTTCAGTTCTGCTCAGATCTTAGTTATCTCGTCTTCTGTTAGCTTTTGAATTGGTTTGCTCTTGCTTCTCCGTTAGATATGAGGTGTCTATTTTACATCTTTCTTGCTTTCTCTTGTGGGCATTTAATGTTATAAATTTCCCTCTAAACACTGCTTTAGCTGTGTCCCAGAGATACTGATATGTTATGTCTTTGTTCTCATTGGTTTCACAGAACTTATTTATTTCTCCCTTAATTTCATTATTTATGCAGTAGTTGTTCAGGAGCAGATTGTTCTGTTTCCATGTAGTTGTGCAGTTTTGAGTGAGTTTCTTAATCCTGAGTTCTAATTTGATTGCACTGTGTTCTGAGAGGCTGTTTATGATTTCTATTCTTTTGCATTTGTTTAGGAGTGTTTTATTTCCAATGATGTGGTCAATTTTAGAATAAGTGAAATGTGGTGCTGAGAATAATGTATATTCTGTTGATTTGGGGTGGACAGTTCTGTAGATGTCTATTAGTTCCACTTGGTCCACAGGTGAGTTCAAATCCTGAATATCCTTGTTAATTTTCTGTCTGGTCTATCTGCCTAATATTGACAGTGGAGTGTTAAAGTCTCCCACTATTATTATGTGGGAGTCTAAGTCTCTTTGTAGGTCTCTAAGAATTTACTTTATGAATCTGGGTTCTCCTGTATTGGGTGCATATATATTTAGGATATTTAGCGCTCCTTGTTGCATTGATCCCTTTATCAATTTATTATTATTTGGTAATGCCCTTCTTTGTCTCTTTTGATCTTTGTTGGTTTAAAGTCTGTTTTATCAGAGACTAGGATTGCAACCCCTGCTTTTCTTTTCTTTGATTTGCTTGGTAAATATTTCTCCATCCCTTCATTTTGAGCCTATGTGTGTCTTCGCACTTGAGATGGGTCTTCTGAATACAGCACACCGATGGCTCTTGACTCTTTATCCAATTTGCCAGTCTGTGTCTTTTAATTGGAGCATTTAGCCTGTTTACATTTAAGGTTAACATTGTTATGTGTGAGTTTGATCCTGTCATTATGATGCTAGCTGGTTAATTTGCCCATTAGTTGATACAGTTTCTTCATAATGTCGATGGTCTTTACGATTGGTTATGTTTTTGCAGTGGTTGGTACTGGTTGTTCCTTTCCATGCTTAGTGCTTCCTTTGGGAGCTCTTGTAAGGCAGACCTGGTGGTGACAGAATCTCTTCAGCATTTGCTTGTCTGGAAAGGTTATTTCTCCTTCGCTTGCAAAGCTTAGTTTGGCTGGATATGAAATTCTGGGTTGAAAATTCTTCTTTTTAAGAATGTTGAATATTGGCCCCCATTCTCTTCTGGCTTGTAGGGTTTCTGCCAAGAGATCTGCTGTTAGTCTGATGGGCTTCCCTTTTTGGGTAACCCAACCTTTCTCTCTGGCTGCCCTTAACATTTTTTTTCTTCATTTCAACCTCGTTGAATCTGATGATTATGTGTCTTGGGGTTGCTCTTCTCGAGGACTATCTTTGTGGTGTTCTCTGTATTTCCCGAATTTGAATATTGGCCTGTCTTGCTAGGCCAATAGTTCTCCTGGATAATATCCTGAAGGGTGTTTTCCAGCTTGGTTCCATTCTCCCCATCACTTTCAGGTATACCAATTAAATATAGGTTTGGTCTTTTCACATAGTCCCATATTTCTTGGAGGCTTGGTTGCTTCTTTTTCATTCTTTTTCCTCGAATCTTGTCTTCACACTTTATTTCATTAAGTTGATCTTCAATCTCTGATATCGTTTCTTCTGCTTGATGGATTTGGCTATTGATACTTGTGTATGCTTCATGAAGTTCTTGTGCTGTGTTTTTCAGCTCCATCAAGTCATGTATGTTCTTCTCTAAACTGGTTATTCTAGTTAGTAATTCCTCTAACCTTTTTTCAAGGTTCTTAGCTTTCTTGCATTGGGTTAGAACATGCTCCTTCTGAAGAACTAACTTCTGAAGCCACCTTCTGAAGCCTAACTTCTGCCAATTTCTCAGAGTCTTTCTCTGTCTAGTTTTGTTCCCTTGCTGGCGAGGAGTTGTGATCCTTTGGAGGAGAAGAGGTGTTCTGGTTTTTGCAATTTTTAGCCTTTTCGCGCTGGTTTCTCCCCATCTTTGTGGATTTATCTACAAAGATTCAAAGACCAAAGTCTTTTATTTTGGTGACTTTCAATTGGGGTTTTGGTGTAGAAGTCCTTTTTGTTGATGTTGATACCATTCCTTTCTGTTTGTTAGTTTTCCTCTAACAATCAGGACCCTCTGCTGCAGGTCTGTTGGAGTTTGCTGGAGGTCCATTCCAGACGCTGTTTGCCTGGCTATCACTAGCAGAGGCTGCAGAACAGCAAAGATTGCTGCCTGTTCCTTCCTCTGGAAGCTTCGTCCCAGGGGGCACCCGCCAGATGCCAGTGGGAGCTCTCCTGTATGAAGTGTCTGTCGACCCCTCCTGGGAGGTGTCTCCCAGTCAGGAGGTAGGGGGATCAGGGACCTGCTTGAGGAGGCAGTCTGTCCCTTAGCAGAGCTTGAGTGCTGCGCTTGGAGATCCACTGCTCCCTACAGAGCTGGGAGGCAGGAATGTTTAAATCTGCTGAAGCTGCACCCATAGCCGCCCCTTCCCCCAGGTGCTCTGTCCCAGGGAGATGTAAGTTTTATCGATAAGCCCCTGACTGAGGCTGCTGCCTTTCTTTCAGAGATGCTCTGCTCAGAGGGGAGGAATCTAGAGAAGCAGTCTGGCTACAGTGGTTTTGTCAAGCTGTGGTGGGCTCTGCCCAGTTTGAACTTCTTGGCGGCTTTGTTTATGCTGTGAGGGGAAAACCACCTACTCAAGCCTCAGTAATGGTGGACACCCCTCCCCCCACCAAGCTGGAGCATCCCAGGTCGACTTCAGACTGTTGTGCCGGTAGTGAGAATTTCAAGCCAGTGGAGCTTAGCTTGCTAGGCTCCGTGGGGCTGGAATCCACTGAGCTAGACCACTTGGCTTCCTAACTTCAGCCCCTTCTCCAGGGGAGTAAAGGATTCTGTCTCTCTGGTGTTCCAGGAGCCACTGGGGTATGAAAAGAAACTCCTGCAGCTAGGTCAGTGTTTGCCCAAATGACCATCCAGTTTTGTGCTTGAAACCCAGGGCCCTGGTGGCATAGGCACCGGAGGGAATCTCCTGGTCTGCAGGTTGTGAAGACAGTGGAAAAAGTGTAGTATCTGGGCCAGAGTGCACGGTTCCTCATGGCACAGTCCCTCATGGCTTCCCTTGGCTAGGGGAGGGAGTTCCCTGACCCCTTGCACTTCCCAGGTGAGGCGACACCCCACCCTGCTTCTGCTCGCACTCCGTGGGCTGCACCCACTGTCTAACCAGTCACATTGATATGAACTAGGTGCCTCAGTTGGAAATGCAGAAATCACCCACCTTCTGCGTTGATCTCACTGGGAGCTGCAGACTGGAGCTATTCCTATTCGGCCATCTTGCCAGCTGCCAACATTACAACTTTTAATAATAATTAACAAATACATTTTTGCACACTAGTTATTTTTCCATAAGATGAGATTTGATAATACTAAATTTTTTTAACATTACATTTTGGAAGATGAGTTAAAGATAAGAAATGCTCTCAGTAGGTATTAAATGCAGGATAAAAATATGCATACATTATAATTGTTTATGTGTAAAACACACTAAGGGCTTTTGCCTATTCTCTCAAGACAACAGTTATCAACACGGAAGACTTCTGAGACCAAATGTAGGCAGGGGTTTTTCCCCATCACCAAGTGAGCAATTAATTCTGTAGTGAACACCAACTGAGTATTCTCCAATTCAACTCCAACATTACCTGGAGATAGAGTCAGGTCCCAGAGCTTGGGGACTCAGTTTCCCAAGTTCCCCCATGCCCACTCCTCCAGACACCTTTTGCATGTCCAGGCCATCCTGAACTTCTGATCAACTGGCTTCAAGTTGGGGTTCCCACAATCCACTCTTTGGGTTTGATTAATTTGCTGGAGTGGCTCACAGAACTCATGAAAACAAATTTACCATTTTATTATAAGCGATATTACAAAGAAGACAGATGAAAAGATGCATAGGGCAAGGCGTATACAAAGGAACATGGAGCTTTCATGTCCTCTCTGGGTGCAACACCCCCCAGGAACCTCGACATGTTCAGCTATCTGGAAGCTCTTCAAACCTTGTTCTCTTGGATCTTTTAATAGGGATTTTATTGGAGAGACAGGATTGAAGCATGGACAACCATATTGAAATGTGATTGGACAGAAATGATGTGATATAAACTCAGTAAGGCCTGTCTGTTCAGATTCTTCTTGTCCTCTGTGCGGCATTCTTTACTCCACGGTAGGGGGCAGGACCCTTTCTGAAATGATTGTTTTATGACTCACAATCAGATTAGAATCCTGCCATGGCCAGTTGAAAGGAGAGCAGGAGAAGTTCAGAGGGAGAGAGAGATTGACTCTGTTTACTATAACAAGGGCTTTGGGAATTATGAGCCAGGAACTGTAGACCAAAACCTGTATGTATGTGTGTATATTTTATGCACACACACCCCCACACACAGAAACACACACATATATATGCAGATACATATATATACACACATATGTATGCACATGTGTATGTGTGTATCACAGTAGCATACACACATATAGAAATAAAAGAAAGTAAACTTAAATGTTAGCTATGGTTATGACCTGGGTGAAGAAATTCATTCTGGAATTCTTCCCAGTCAAGTTTATTGAAAAAAAATTAAATATATAAAATGTATCCTTTCGGTGTATAGTTCTATGAGTTTTGACAAAGGCAGGCCTTTCTCTAAGTTTTTGGTGGACATGTAATCACAACAGTCAAAATAAAAAATAGTTCCACCACCTCAAAAAGTTTCTGCATGCTCCATTGTACTCCTTCCTCCCTGGTCACACACCCAACACATGCAGCCCCTGGAAAACACCAATTTTTCATTCTTTATAAATTCTCTCATCCAAAATACCATATTCGAGAATCACACAGTATGTAATTTTTGAGTCTGGCTTCTTTCATTTAGCATAATGCTTTTGACATACCTCTATGTTGTTACATGTACCAGTATGCATTCTTCCAGGTTTTGATAATAAGTATAAAGCTGCAATAAACATTTGTATGCAGGTTTTTCTGTGAACATATGTTTGTTTTCTTTAGTACAAATATTGAGTGGAAATACTGGTTTGCATGGTAAGTGTACATTTAATTAAAAAAGAAACTGTCAAAACTTTTCCAAAGTGATTGTAGCATATTGCATCCCAACTGGCAATATATGAGAGTTCCAGTTGTTTAGTCTTGTCAGCACATGTTATTGTCAAGTTTTTGTAGTCTTAGCCACAATAACGGGTATGTAATGCTATCTTATTTTGGTTTTAGTTTGTATATCATTAATGACAACAGATGTTGAGCACTTTTTGATGTGCTTAATTGCCATTTAAATATCATCCTCAATTAAAATATCAATTTTTTCTCATTTAAAAATCAGATTGCTTGTTTTCTTGTCATTAAGACCTTTTATATCATATCAGATATGTGTTCTTCAAGTATTTTATTCCAATCTGTGGCTTGTCTTTTTATTTTAAGTTTTATTTGAAAAGTAGAGATTTTAATTTTGAGGAAGTCCAGTTTTCCAATTTTTACTTTTCAAGATTATGCTTTTTGTGTCATATTTAAATTTCTTTTTGCCTAACCCAAGGTGACAGAGATTTTCTTCTATATTTTCTTCTAGCAGTCCTTGTGACTTTATTAGGAGAAAGGGTATTTAAAGAGATAATTAAGGTTGAATGAGTCATAAAAGTAGGGCCCTAATTCTATAAGACTGGTGTCCTTAAGAAAAAGAGACACCAGAGGTGCTCACACACAGAGAAAAAGCAATGTGGGGCCACAGCTCGCTAAAAATGACTATTTACAAGCCAAGAAGAGAGGCATCAGGAAACAGCAAACATGCTAGCCCCTTGAAGAGAGGCATCAGGAAGCATCAAACATGCTAGCCCCTTGTTCTTGAACTTCTGTCCTCCAGGAGAAAATAAATTCCTGTTGCTTATGCCACCCAATATGTAGTATTTTATTATGGCAGTCCAAGCTGACTGCTGCGAACAGTATAAGTCCTTCAACTTTGTTCTATCTTTTCAAAATTGTTTGAGCTATTGTGTTCCTTTGCTTTCCCACTCCTCCCACCCTACCATATTAGAATTTGATGGCAAATTTCCACAAAAAAATTTTGCTGACATTTTTGTTGTAACTGTATTGACTCTACAGATCTATTAGGGTGGAATTGACATCTTAATGTATTGAGTCTTCTGATCCATCAACCTAAAATATATTTTAATTTATTTAGGTCCTCTTTTATTTCCTTTATAAGTGTAGTTTTTAGTATATAAATCTTGAGTTGTACTTTATTACACTTATATCTCAGTAATGTTTCTGATGTTATAAATAATACTCTATTTGTTTCAATAGTCTGTTTATTTCAGTTTCCCATTGTTCATTGTTAGCATGTAAAAATACAATGGATATTTGTTTATGGAGTTTGTTTTCAGTAAAATTGTTAAATTTATTTACTAGTTATACTAGCTTCTTTGTAGATTGTTAAGATTCTGTATGTAGATAATATGTCTTTCTTTCAAAACTGTATGTCTTTAATTTTTTTGTTTTTATTTATTACACTGAATAAAACCTCCAATAACATGTTAAATAGAAGTGATAAGAAAGGACATTTTGCCTGTTCCTGATCACAGAGAAAAATACTAAGTCTGTCATTAAGAATGGCATTATATGAAGGCTTTTAGTAGATATCTTATGTCAGGTTGAGGAAATTTTCTTCTGTTTGCTTATTTTAACATTAATACATATTGAATTTTATAAAGGCTTTCATTGAGATGCGTGTATTGAAATCATCATATGATTTCTCTTCTTGTGATATGGTGAATTACACTGATTAATTTTCAGTTATTGAACCAAACCTGCCTTCCAAGTATAAAATCTATTTGGTCATGATGTATTAGCTTTTGCATATGATGCTAAATTTGATTTGCCAATATTTTCCTCAGGATTGTTCATCGGTGTTTATAAAAAATGTCAGTCTGTAGTTTTCTGTTGTCTTTTAATGGTTTTGTTATCGGTGTAATCTTGGCCTTGTAAAATGTCTTGGAATGCATTTCTTTCTCCTCTATTCTCTGGAAATGATTTTTAAAAATTGGTATTATATGTTACTTGAATTCTTGATGACTAGTAAGCTATGTCCTAGTAAGCCCACTAGGAAATAGGCTGACATTTTAACAAAAATTATTCTTAGAAGTTTTGCAATTATGAATTCAAATTCTTTATTGTTATAGAGTAAATTATCTATTCCTTTTGAACATGCTTTAGTAGTTTGTTTCTTAAAGTTGTTTAATGTTATATAAATTGTTGAATTCATAAGCATATAATTTTTAGAGTATTCCATTATTATTCTTATAGTGTTTGAGGAATTATCAATGAAATCTTCTCTTTTCTTTTTAATATTGATTTTTTAGTCTTCTATTTTTTACCCTGAAGCATCTGATTAAAAGTTTATCATTTTTATTGTTATTTTCAGTCATCTTAAAAAAATTTTTTTTCTCTCAGAATTTTCTTATTTCTGCCTGCTTTGGGTTTAATTTATTCTTACATTCTTTGTTTCCTCAAGAGGATACTTAGATAATTTTTTGAACTCTTCCTTCTTTAATAATTAAAATATTTAATGATATACATTGTTTTGTAAGCAGATTTTTATTTGCCTATAACAAATTTTGATACCTTGTGTTTTCATTTTCATTTAATGAAAAATGAATTCTTAATTTTCTTTTAACTTTTTTCTAGACTCATAGTTTATGTGGAAGTATGGTGTATAATTTACAAATATTTAAAGATTTTCCTGGACAACTTTCTCTAATTTATTTCTGGTTTAATCCATTGTGTTGAGAAATTGTATCATTTCAATTCTTTTAAGTGTGTTGTGTTTTTTGCTAAAATTATTCCTAGGTATTTTATTTTTAAAAATTTTTATAGCTCTTGTACATGAAACTGTCATTTTTAAAATTTGTTTTAGATTGTTTTCTGTTGGCATTTGCAAATGTTACTGATTTTTATATGTTGATTTTGTATCCTGCAACTTTACCAAATGTGTGTGTCAATTCTAAGTTTTTTGTTGAGTCTTCAGGTTTTTCTAAATATCATATCATGTTGTCTGTAAACAAGGATAATTTGACTTCTTCCTTTCCAATTTGCATACCCTTAATTTTTTCTCTTGCCTGGTTGCTATCTCTAGGACTTCCATTGCTATACGGAATAAAAGTAGTGAAAGTAGGCATCCTCGTCTTGATTCAGATTTTAGTGGAAAGGCTTTCAATTTTTCCCCATTCAATATGATATTAGCTATGTGTTTGTCATATATGGCCTTTATTGTTTTGAGTTGTATTACTTCTATCCCCAGTTTGTGGAACATTTTTATCATGAAGGGTTATTGAATTGTATCAAATGCTTTATCAGCATCTATTGAAATGATTATATGGTTTTTGTCCTTGATTCTGTTGATGTGAGGTATTATGTTTATTGATTTGCATAGGTTGAACCATTCTTGCATCCCTGAGATGAATCCCACTTGATCACGGAGTAATTTTTTAATGTGTTGTTGGATTCATTTTGTTAGGTTTTTTTTTTTTTTTGACAGAGTTTTGCTCTTCTTGCCCAGGCTGGAGTGTCACGGCACAATATCGGCTCACTGCAACCTCTGCCTCCTGGGTTCAAGCAATTCTGCCTCAGCCTCCCAAGTAGCAGGGTTTCACCATTTTGGCCAGGCTGGTCTCAAACTCCTGACCTCAGGTGATCCACCCGTCTCGGCCTTCCAAAGTGCTGGGATTACAGGCATGAGCCATTGCGCCCGGCCTGTTAGTATTTTTTGAGGATTTTTGTGTCTATGCTTATCAGGGATATTGGTCTGTAGTTTTCTTTTTTGTGTGTGTCTTTATCTGGTTTTGGTATCAGAATAATGCTGGCCTGATAGAAAGCATTTGGAAGAATTCCTTCCTCTTCAATTTTCTGAAGTAGTTTGAGAAGAATTGATATTAGTTCTTCTTTGAATGTTTGGTAGACTTCAGTAGTAAAGCGATCAGGTCCTGGACTTTTATTTGATGAAAAACTTTTAATTACCAATTCAATCTTATTACTTGTAGCTCTTAGGTGGGAGTTTCTTCCCCTCTGAGGCAATAGGAGACTCCTGATTATATTGATATAGAATCCTTCACCCAGGATTATTTTCTGCTCCTTCTTCGGGGATATTTTTAAATTTTTATTCTTCCTTCTACTTTAATGCGTTTTCATTGTACCCTGCTGCCCTAAGTGATTTCAGGACTTTTTGTTGTTTTTGTTTTTCTATAGGGAAAAGGGTGTGGGTAGAACTTTGTTCCTTTCCTGCAGCTCTGGCTGCTTCTCTCCTTCAGAATCACAAAATAATGGGACTTTCTCTAGTCTCCTGCTTCATCCCTAATCTTCTCATGAGTACCCATTAGCTGTCTGTGGAAAACATCTGAAGAATGGGTATAAACTCTTCTTAAATCTGCAGTTTCCATGGATTCTAAACTTTTACACTACTTGGCCTTTCTAAATTTGCTAAAAATTTTAAATGCGTTATTTTTATTTACATCTGTGATGACTTGTGTCTTTTACTCCTGGGCACTGCTTTAAGTGAGCCATTGCTTTTGTCCTATCTATTCTTGCAGACGTCTGTTTTCCTTGGATTTTGAGCTATGTGGTTGCTCTGAGTCCTCAGCTCTTTGATAGGGTCAAGAAAAGGTTTATATGGGCTGTGTCTGTACAAAAATAAATTAGAAAAGAATTTGTTCTTCTTATTTTAGGCAAAACCCAACTGTTTAGTGATTGATTGGTGTCTAGAAATTTATAAATCAAGCGTCATCTTATGTCAAATAAAATAGAAAGTTTTTTTCACTTTTGGTATTTTTTAATATATAATCTGTCTTATCTCGCTCTTTAGTCATACAGTAAATATGTTCTTGTTACTGATTTAAATTTTGAGCAACACAGAAAACATTCTTTGAAGCTGCTCTTTCCATGTTTGGAAAGGAAAGAAATCAAATATTCATTAAACAAAAATTTTAAATTCATAATATCAATTCAAGAAATACTATGTACTCTTAGCTAATTAGCAGAAAAGTACACATAGCTCTTTTTTCCCACCAGAGGCATTAAGATCTGTAGGTTTATTAATGGAAATATTTATTTGGAAAATAGAACTTGGATTTATTTTTTCAAATGTTAAGACAGAAAAGTTAAGCTGACCATGGATGATTTTGTTTCTTGCCAGTCCCATCATTCATTATATAATGTTCTTCAGGCTTATTACCATCTACCTTAAATACCATTATTTTATTTCTTAAATATAATATTCAAGTATTCAGATAAAAATTACATTTTTACTTGATATTTCTGGGAACTTCATAGCTTCATGCAGTTTTGGTGGGATTCATCTGTCATTGTTTCATGATACTTCAAGTTGCAATCAGCCATGCAGGAATTTCTTAATGATGAGAAATATGCATCTTCAGTTTATCTTTATTTTATATCTTTTCTGGGGGGATTCTGGAAAAATCTTTTTGTTGGACAGAGTAATTAAGCAATATCTTTAAAAAATATTCTTTAGATGACTTAGACTTTCTTATCAATCAGATAAATCAGCAAGTCTTCAGTTGAATAGTGAAAATAAAGATGAGAGTAATATAAAATACTAATTTAAAGTTATTTTATTAATGCAGAAGATTTATTTGGATGCAAATATTAGAATTCTGAAAGTTTACATATTTTAAGAACTTTTCATTTGAGACTATCACTTGGGAGGGGGGAACTTGAGATTTAAGAAAATCATTATTAGTTCACTACATTTGGTACTGTAACATTGTTCCATTCTACATAAATGTGGTTCATGGTCCCCTTGTGGTTAATGACCAGTCATCAATCAGTGGACTCCTGCACATTGGGCTTGGCTATCTCTCAACAGTGCCACAGGTGGTTAAACACACACACACACACACACACACACACACACACACACACACAAAAATGTGAGCCAGAAAATTAAAAAAGACTCAATTCCAGCGGGAAAGAATATTGAGTCACCTATGGAAATGAGAAATGTGGGTTAAATACAATATCTAATTAAGGAAACTGTTGGTTAAATGGATGTTCACATTTAGTAACTAATTAAAGTATAATAGACAAATTATGTTCTCTTTGAGTTGGTATCGTATCTGAATTTGCTAGTTCTCTGCCCAGGTTTGTCTGTTGACAAGCCGGCCTAGGGGAGCAGAATACTTTAGGCGGAGGGAGAAAAGAGATGTTTCTTTGGGTAACTGGGAGGGAGTGGGAAGAATAAAAAAGAGAAGGTGGAAGCAGCACATGTGACCTTCTCAGATAATGGTCACCTGTCCCTGGTCCAGCACCCTAGACCTGTGTCTGAGATCAGAGAGACACAGGCCATATTAGAGGATCCATAAGTTGTCAGGTACACGGAAATGTGCTGGTAGGGCTGAGACTGCATTTCTAAACAATTGGTACATAACATTTATAGAATTGAATGTTCTCTCAGAAAGATCTGCTTGAGGAGTTGCATCTCTCAAGGTTTTTTCCTCTGGCAAGGGTGTCAGTGCAGCTTGTCAGAGCAGAAAACAGGACTTCAGGGATAACTCAGTTGAGACACTACTGGGAGTTCTAGAAACGACTCAGTGAAACTTTAGGGTAGTACAGACTAGAGGATCTCCATTATGCCAGTGAGGGTTATAGCAAGTGAAATTGGAGTTATTAGTGTGAATGAACCTCAGTGGGACAAGAAAGCCTACTTATGGATCAGACTTGGTCTCAAATGTAATTTCCTCATGTAAGCTTCTCAGAATTCCCAGTATAAATGGGATCTCCTATGTACATTATCAGTGTCATTTTGTTTCTTGGTGCTTATAAAAGTTTGATTCATGTTTTAATTCTTTGGTTAATATTATTTTCTCCATCAGACTATAAACTCCAAGAGGGAGAGGACCACAGAAATGGAGCATAGTAAGTGCTCAATAATTTTTATATAAATACATGAGCAGATGGATGAATGAATGATATGTTTGCTAGAGCAGTCTCAAGTAAAATTCATTACTTCTTTACTAAATATTAATTGGTCTTTGAGGAAACTGCCAGTAACTTCTTTGGTCATTTCTTCTCTGATAAATTTTATGTTGGTTTTTGGGCTCATGCTTATGATGGGGAGAAGCTTCAGCCAGATCCCACTGAGGAAATTATACTTTTACTACAATATACCAAAGCAAATGTTAGAAACAGTGAATAAATTTAATCAATAGATTAATTTGAATAACTGATGCCAGATAGCTAGTTGGTTTGATTTTTATCTCTTATTGAACTGACTTAACAGCTGTTTTCATGCTGTGTAACCCGTCTCAATGACTATTGACACACACAGTACTATCATTTATTGTTAGCAAATAATCACCCCTAAGAACTGGAATTTGACTGCTGTATTACTCTGTGTACTTCTGATTAGAATTTCTGTTTTTCTAATGGTATGACTTAATGATTTTGCTCTTGTTGTATACCAAAATGTTATCAGTTTAACATATTATATGTATTGGACATATAATATTTTGTTTCTAAATTTTAACATATATGCAATTTTAAAATATGCATATTTTAAAATGAACTTTAGTAATTCTGGATATCACAAAAATTTATAAGTGGGCAGCAATATGTTGTGAAGAATTAAATCTCTTCATTCTGATGGCTTTATAAAACTTGATGCAATTTTGTAGACTACTAATGTCTATGAAATGATACTGGGTGGTAAAATTATTTACCTTGATATAACTTTTCTGTTTTTTATGCTTCTTTTAAAAAAACCTTTAGTACTAATACTTGAGAATAACTTTACTACCCTTATATAGGTTTTACTTCCCAAGAAGTTATAATAATAGACTAGAGTCATTTTGTTTATCATCTGATAATACTTTTGAATACTTTTTAGTGCTATTCATTTGTAAGCTTATGGTATTTTAAATTAACATAGAATCATAAGTTTTGTGTCATAAGTTAATATGAGGCAGTATAGCAGGACTGGATATTATGGAAATTGACATGTTTCTGCCTCTAGTGGAAGCAAGTGACCTAAATGAAGGCAGCCAGCTAAGTGTGGCAAACAGGAGAATGTTTGCCTTTCTAAGTAAAGTGCTATTACTTGGTTCTGGCAGGAATGCAGCCTGCAAAGGCTTTCAGATTTTCTGATTCTTGTTTTTTTTTTCCCAACTATAAAAATTGCATAAGTTTTAAAAAATCCTCCTGCCTTAAAGTCAGACAGATAAATGGAAAAATTCTGGCTCTTTCACTTAAACCATTTATCACAAAGTCCATTACATTCTAAGCATTCAGTAAATGATAGCTATTATATTACAACTAGAAAAACTCTAAGTTGAATTGACCTCCAGTTTCTGCGTTTCTTAAAATGAAATGTTTCAATAGCATACTCTGGCCTAACTGTGGGCATACATGTGTGCATATGTATGTTAGAAAATAAGAAAGAAGTTCCTGGAATTTCTGGGTAAATATAGATAAAATATGTATGTTAGAAAATAAGAAAGATGTTACTAGAATTTCTGGTTAAATATAGGTAGAAATAGGGCAAAAACAGAAAGATCAATGACATAGAAGTATATTTTCTGCCAATTCTATAAACTTCATTTCTCAGAGATGAAGTGCTTCATTCCTATTTGTTTTCTTAGATATATATTATCCATTTACTACCCCATCAAAATTCATTTGTTATTTACCCATGCTTGGTTCTCTCAAGGGTCTTTCTAAGCGATTGAGACTAATCTGATGAGTTAAGGTTCTAATCGCATGTAATTGCTTAATGTCTTATCTCTTCCTGGTAGCTTTTGCATTTTAACACAGGTCTTCAATACCTTAGCCCAGTGGGGTTTGTAATAAGATAAGAATGACCAGACCATGCAGGCCCTTGCAACTAAAGGATGCAGCAGTTAATATTTGTGGATAGGCTTAAGAATTCCAGCTACTGACAAGACCAGGCCAAAATATTTTTGGGAAGGAAGATGTTTCAATCTCCCTCAAATCTATGTTGGGGTAAGATTTAATAGTTGGAAAACTCTCTATTCTGGGTTGCATATATCAAAAGTAATTAATAATTTGACTTATTTGAAAATAGTTTTAACCAGTCATGTTGGAATTATATAAGCAGATCATTAGAAGGCAAAAAGGGGATGAATGGGAAAATCTCTCTTTTTTAAGCTCCATTTATGCTGACAACTTGTGCTTGTTCTAAACACATTAATATTATCTTACTTCATTAACTTTGAAAAGCAGCATTTTGGTGTCATTTTCAATTCCTATAGAGCCTCCCACCTTTTTTCAGAGTTCTTAGGAAATGCCACATATGTACTCACAAATTAGTTTTATGAGGCTTACACATTTCTCTTCTCCTCTGCTCCAGGTTTATTTCTGCTGCCAAGGTCTAAAACAGCTATGAAGTTGTGTCTTACTATTTCTTCCAGTGGCCTGCAATCCACTGGAAACCATTTCCTCTGTTGTCCAGCAAGCAGTTTAATTGAGTACTGCAGTACTCTTCTTGAGGCAGTACAAGTTGGGGAATAAACTCAAGTAAGGGGTCATGTCCTGTTTAGAAGAAACAATCATTTTAAGAGTAAAGAATTTGTTTTGACTACTCCTGGGTACCTGACTTCACTTCTTTTAGATAAGCCTCCCTCACTGGAGACTATATGTCATAAATGGTCCCCTGGATTCCACTTTGCTGACTGTCATATACAACCACAGTCCTGTAGGGAAACAACTTATAGTCCTATGGGGCTGATATACATCTTCAACTGTGACTTTTCTTGGGACCAGAATTCAGTCTCTGTACTTAGATTTTCCAATTTATACTTGTTTAAGCTTAGAGAATTTGTTTTGAGAATGTAGCTCTAAAAAGTTTAGGCTTTTTTTTTATTCCATTTATCAGGATCTACAGTAATACTTTCCCACCTTTCCCTGCAAATTTTCAGATAGATAAATCACCAGCAAAATAAAATTATCTGCCTAAAATCTTTGCAGCCTAAGATCATGCATAGAACTTTAACGGAGAGGTCAAAAGACCCAAAGGATAGCTATGGGGTCATTTTTAATTATTCCACAAATGAATCAAAATAAAATCTGAAACATTGTAAAGATATCATACTTTAACCAATTAAACAAACCAAAACAACTAAAATCTCAGTACTGTTTGTGTGGCATAGTATTGATTGCATACACAATGGGCCATTCTATCTTCATCTGTGTATCATAACTGCCATCTTTTTCAATGGCAATAAGATCAGCCCCAAAGAATAAACTGCATTCATTTAATTATGCCAACCTCATTCCCTTTTGGCAACAATTGGCCTAGGAGTAGACATATGACCAGACTGACTGAGATAAAAGGGGAAGTACGAGAAACTTCTGTGACATTTTTTTTTTCCTTATCAAAGAAGGGAAGCATGTGAGGAAGACTCATTCTCATTGCCCTGAAAATACTCATGCTTCTTGTTTAGAAGTGGACCAAGTATTTGGAGCTATAGCTGTCATCTTGGAATTACGTGAAGTAGGCCTAGAGTAGCAGAGGGAATAAGACCCGCTGCTCAGACTCTTAAAGTTGTTGAATCAACCCCTGACTGCCAGCCTCTAAATTTCACTTTGAATAAACAGTATAGGTCCTTGTTGATTAAATCATGGGGTGACAAACAATCTGCAGGCCAAATCCAACCTACCACCCATTTTTGTTAATAAAATTTTATTGGAGCAGGGTCACCGTATTTATTTATGTATTGCATAATAGCTCCTTGCACTACAGTAACAGAGTTGATAGTTATGAATGGTATAATTGAGTAGTTGTGACAGATACAGTAGTTATGGATTGCAAAGCTTAACATATTTACTATCTGGCTCTTTGCAGGAGAAGTATGCCAACTTCTACATTAGGCCAGTATAATAGTCCCCCCTTATCCACAGTTTCACTTTCCACTTCTCTGTGGTCAACCATAGTCCAAAAATATTAAATAAAAAATTTCAGAAATAAATAATTTATAAGTTTTACATTGCATGCCATTCTGAGACAATCCTCCCTTTGTCTAGCATATCCATGCTGTATGTGCTAACCCTGCCCATGAGTGCTTAGTAGCCATCTTAGTTATCAGATTGATTGCTATAGTACAGTAGTACTTATGTTCAAGGTCAATAGTAACCTAACACTACATTATAATGCTTACATCATTCACCTTACTTCAACTCATCATGTAGAAATTTTATAATCTCACATTATCACAAGAAAAAGGGTGGGTACAGTACAATAATATATTTTGAGAGAGAGAACATTCACAAAACTCATTATGATATATTGTTGTAATTGCTCTATTTTATTATGTTATTTTTGTTAATCTCTTACTGTGCCTAATTTATAAATTATACTTTATTATATGTATGTATGTACAAGAAAAAATAACACATATAGGATTTGGCAATATTCACAGTTTCAGGCATTCCCCAGGAGTCTTGAAACATATTCCCTTGCAAATAAAGGGTGATTTCTCTGTTAGAATTTTCTATTATTGCCATATCAGTGCATCTGAAGTGATAAAATTCTAATTCTAAACATCTACATTTGTTGGCATAACAACCACATTTTACACACGATATGCCTATTAAATGCTGATAAATTCTTTTCTAAGTAAAAAACAGATTTTAAAAAGAGATAAAGTATTGAGAAACTTATGTCTGTGTTTTAATTTACCCCTAAACTCCAGCTAATATTTTGCACTGAGAAGAAATCATCATCTTAATTGTAGCCTAGTGAGATTTAAAATAACTTGACTTTTTTTCTTTTAGAATGAGATGTTTAATGGAAATGCTTTAAGGGCCCAAGCTAGTGAGTGAAGCACTATTGTTACAGCTATTTCAAAATGACATTTATGCAGACTGTGTAAAATGTTCAGAGTCATTAAGTAGCATTCTGTGGCCAGCCATATATCCTTCCTCAATCATGTAATAAAAGAGCTAATCATGATCAAGTCCCAGCTTTTAAAAAAATGCATTTTTTTGCATACTGCCCTGAAGCTTAAATAAGTCAAAAAGGATTTAACAGCAATTGCAATACCTGTGAACTAAATAGTTGTAAAGTGGAATGAGTGTGTGATGTTTCCTGGGGGTATTCTTTCATATGAAGATTATTAACTGGGGCTTAATGTCTCCATCTTGTTTCCTAATATATATGACACGGAGATATACATTTAAGATTAGTATTATTAACGTGTTAGTCTACCACAGAATTGGGATTTAGCCTTTCCTCTGCTAATCATAGAATGGTGAAATTGAGATAGCAGAGAGGGCCACCTCCTTCCATACACAGGCTTCCTCTGCTGATCTCACTTCTACCCTTCATGATTAAACTGCATTGAAAGATTTCTTTCATGATTCAAGAAGATGGCTTTTTTAATATTTGTTTTAATATGAAAGAAGGATATACTCATTCATCATCAGAAATGTTGTTAAAACAGCGCTTCTGATCAACCATTGATGATGAATGGGAGGATCTTTTCTTCGTACAGGAGAGAATATTACACAAATCTTCCTGAGACTTGCCACAAATCTCTCTTAATAAAATTCAGCTCATCAGTTTTAGAAGATGAAGAGGTTTTCAGTCATAAAAGGGATAGTGACAATGGAAGATGGTTCAAAGGCCTTTTTATACTATGTTTATGCTTATGAGTAGCTACAGGCATAGCTGGTATTATGTTTGTTTTCAAAAGAAAAATCTAGGCTAATAGCATTTGTTATGAGAGGAAAACCTGTCACATTGTCATATAGTCTTTGATATTTAATTACTATCAATTGAACATGGGAATAGTACTAGATATTGTGAGACATTACAGTGAAAAAGAAACCAATAAACAACATTCGTTTAGGAACTAGAATAAACATGTATTAAATGAAAGATAGGGCTATGCCCATTAAAATAACTATATTCATGCAGTCCTTCAGTAGTTATTGAGAACTTGCTATATGTCAGGCTTGATAGGCCCAGTGGTACATCTGTGCACAGAGTAATGCTCCTGTTGTCATGGAGCTAATGTTTAACTTGTCCCAGGTGTCTTCCATTTGCCACTTGAGATTCTGGTCAATAAACTGGGTCATATTTTCAAGCATTCAACAATTCTTTATAGTTTGGCAGAAAGTATGCCTTATCATTTCTATTAAATGTGTCGTGATTTTATCTTCAGTATAAAGTGATGAGCAAATTTGAATCAGATACTACAGTCTAAGCAGTTTCATTGGCTGCTAGGTCATCATAAAATAAAGATCTAGAAAATGTGTCTTGAGCCTTAGAAGCATTACTGTCCCATGAATCAATTCTGTGTCAGAATTTTTGAACGTATCAGTAGATCAATTTTGCATCATTCATTCCATTGATCTCCCATTGCCATTATTATGCAGGTCAGCCATGCAGCTGGCAGACATGCATTGCAAAGTGAAGTTTATCCACGATGCAAATAGAGAATAAGTAAGAGCAGTCATCACAGAACTGAGCTACACATGATCTTTGGTCACCAACACTGGCCTCTGAAAGACTGCATATCAGTTCAGTGATCTCTACAGAGTTCAGGGTTACAGACTGAAAAACTCAGAAAGTTTTTTTTTCTGCCAGCTAAGCATGTGTGCTTGAAAGTATAAAAGATGGAGTATTTGAATGTTGTTGCACTTACTGAGGAAATTTAGGTAGATATAATTGCTTTCAAATTCAAAGTACAAAATGTCTATGATGCCTTGGATCATCATGAATTCTCCATCGTAAGTGTTCACTGTGTTCTACCTGTGTCTCTAATACCTCCAGTGCCATTTAATTGAATCTGGATGTTACCTAAATCTCCATGTCTCCATGGATGTAGCATTTTGTCTTAAAATCTACCCTTATAACAAGGAGATAATAAAGGCTTAAACCAAAGATTGCAATGAAACATTTAGTGTGGCAGGAGTCTAACTGGATACACTATCAAATTCCTTCCCTTGAGGTAAACAATTTGCAATGGAAAGGGGCACCTTAGCCAGAAAATAGCACAAAATCTATTGAAAATAAATGATGAAATGAACATGATTTTAAAAAGTGTATAATTAACTTTGAATTTTCGTGATTGACATTCACTTTTAAAACTCACAGAGTATTTATGAGAGATCTCTATTTACAGAAATGGGATCTATATGCCTTGCATTGTCAATGATAAATGGAAGTTCTTTTGGACCAAAGCAGCATACAAAAATGTGTGAAGTAATATGAACCAGAATATGTACTATGTAACCATAGCTTACTACTTAATAATATGTAGCTTACTACTTAAAATTTAAATAGGTAACATAGTTAAATCATCCAGATATAAATATTGACCGATAAATCGTTCTAGTTAATTCAGGGTTTCTTAAACCTAGCACCTTTTTTTTGGACAACATAATCCTTTGTGGTAAGGGGCTATTCTGTAATATGTAACCATAGCTTACTACTTAAAATTTAAATAGGTATCATAGTTAAATCATCCAGATATAAATATTGGTCCATAAATTATTGTAGTTAATTCAGGGTTTCTTAAACCTAGCACTTTTGTTTTGGACAAATAATCCTTTGTAGTAAGGGCCTATCCTGCATATTGTAGGCTGCTTAGCAGCATCTCTGGCCTCTACCCAGCAGACACCAGTTGTACAGTCCCTGGGATGACAATCAAAAATATCCCTGGATATTGCCAAATTGGGAGAACTACTTGTGGTTGAAAACTACTGAGTTAACTACACCCTTTTTATCCTACATTATTAATCAACACAGCAAGTTGCTATGCATTAGTATGTTAACATCTCAAACATAAAAGACAGGAGGAGTTGTGAATGGATGTAATGATCAATCAACTATTTGCATTTATAAAAAATAACTACTATCTGAAGTATGTTAGCAATTTTAAGAATAACAGTACAACAAACTGTAGTCTAATATTAAAACTAATAAGAGCGTAATTAAGTCTTATTTCTATCATTGGGAAGGCATTTTAGGTTCTTGCAGACTTTGGAGACATTATTAGTGATATTGTCATCATACTGTAGATATTCAGGAATGCAGTAAATATAATTATAGAATTTTGTCCCAAAATAATAAAGATAAAAGTTTCACTGTCTTCAGCACTGATCAGAAGATATATAGTCCATTGTGTAGGATTCTAGAAATTCAATTTATAGGAAACATTGGCAAGTATATAAAGATTTTAGGGGAGAGCACTAAGTTAAAAAATTAAAAAAAAACATTTTGGAGACATCAGATTGAAGAAAGGAGTGGGCCATGGCACAGCTATTTACATTAAAAATTAAAAGTTGGAATATAATAATTTCTGTCAATAATTTGAAAATTCTCATGTAAAAGTAAAAGTTTACCTATGCTATTTTTCTCCAGAAGGTAAACAGTTTGACAGATGGCATTTTAATGATGGTGAGTAAATTCGTTCCACTCAGCCTGATTGACACCTCATCCTTCAGGTCACAGTTTCAGTGTCATTTTAAAATCAAGTCCTTCCTTAGTCCCCTTGCTTAAATTGAATCTCCATTATTGCACCCTATCTTTTACTTCATAGTGCTTATCACAATGTACAATTAATAATTTATTTGGGTGTTTAACCTTGGTTGAGCCACTTAAGTAAGTCCTAAGAAGAGGTGTGCTGTCTCATTTGCTCACTATTACATCATTGACACTACGGGTCGGGAACCCAGCATTCACTGGCTTATGAGATATATGTTCAGTTAGTAATTGAGGAACATGAGTAATGTATTTAAAATAAGGTTTTCAAAAATAAAATAGTAAGGCTAGCACAAGGGTGCTTCCATACTCATTATAACAATTTTATTTTGTCCTCCAGACATGAGATGTGTTTGATCTGGCTTACATTGGTTCCTGAGAGCAAACTGTGCAAATTTCTTCCAAACTTCAAATTCAGTAAAACAATGAAGGTAGCTCCAAGTTAATTATGATGGGAGATTTATGCCACAAAAAAAGGAAATACAGATGTTTAGCTGGTTGTCAACCATTAACCAACACATCTCTAATGTTCAGTATATTTCTATACCAGCAAGAAAGTTGAAAATGAGGCCTCTGATTACACTTTCTACTCTGAGTCTTCACCTCCACATAAGAGGCAGCACTAGAATAAACCTACAGAAAATGGAGGACTGGGTTGTTTGGAACAACTTTTCTGCTGAGAACAATCATAAAAGTTGGACATAATATTTAAAGAAATAGTTTTTAATAGTAACAGAATGCTACCAAAGCAGTGAGAATTTACGAAAACAAGACCTGAAAGAGCAAGGAAGCCATGAATAGTGAGTTGACATTTGGTGCTGATTTTCTTCTTGAGGCTGTTATCAATTCCAAACTTTTAGCTGAGGAGTTGCAAAGCTGAGCAGAGCACTGGAGGTATGGAAATTAAAGTCAAAACCTACCAAACAGAAGGATCTCTTGTTAAATGCAGGATTATAGTTGACAAATAGGAAAAGATGAACCTGAAATAAAGCAACCTAAACAAAAATTGAAGCTCACTTTTGAATCAGCTTAATCATTGATTGGACTAAGGTGATCTGCCCTTAGCTGCCTGCTAAAAGCAAAAGTTAATCCCTGCTGGAGCTTCAAATTATTTGTACATTTTTTATACACAATGCCAGGTACTTAAACAAAAATGTCTTCCTAAGTTTATAGGAAGACAACATTTGACTAAAATAAAAGAAAAAAAAAGACAGGAGAAATAGACTTACAAGGTGTACTGGTTTTCTGTGGATGTATGGATGTGGTAACAAATTATCATAAACTTAGTGACAATGTGAACTTAGGAACTACAGTCCTTGAGGACAGAAGTCTGAAATGAGTCTCACTGGGCTAAACTCAGTATCAGCAGGATTGTGTTATTTCTGGAGGCTCTAGAAGAGAACACATATCTTTTGCTTTTCCAGATGTTGGAGACTATCTGAATTTCATAACTAATGGCTCCATTCCTCCGTGTTTTACAGCCAGCAACCTCAGGCAGAATATTTCTGACACTGCAAATCTCTGGTTCTGCCTCTTCTATTTCCTTTTTTACTGATAAGGGCATTTATGATTGTATTAAACCCTTCAGGATAATCCAGAATAATCTTTCGAGCTTAAAATTAGCTTATTCATAAACTAAATTACATCTGAATCTTAATTCCCATTTTCTTTGTAACCTAACATATACACGGGTTTCAAGTTAGATGTGGACATCTTTGGGGATTCATCATGATACCTAACACACAGGTTATCCAGAAAATTCAGTTATATGGCACACTTCAAAATGACTATGTGTTTGTACAATTCAAAGACAAGATGGAGAATTTTAGCAGATAAATGGAAATTATGAAAAATAATAAATGACAACAATAAAAATTTGAAGAAATAATGATAGAGAATTTTAAAAAACTGAAGAAATGTATTGAGCTATGGTTTTGAGAAGTTCTAAAACTCTAAGCATGGTAAATATAAAGGAAATCACATGTAGGCACATTATAGAAAAACTGCTGCGAGCAAAAGACAAAGACATTCATATTAAAGAATCAGAATAAAAAGGTGTATTAAATCTCAAAAAAGAATAACAAGAATGACAGCTGACTTACGATAAATGATGGAAACTAGAAGTTAATAGAATATCTTGAAAGCACTGAAAGAAAATTATTTCCAAACTATAATTTTATATTCAGTGGAAATATATTTTAGAAAATAAAAATTTTTTTCACAAAATTATTCCAAGAAATTATCTCTATCCATGCTACACCAAAATAAACACTTGAGAATGTTCTCTAGGCAAAAGGAAAATAATCACAGATTTGTCTGGAGATTCAGTAAATATATTTGTAAATATAAATAAATATTCACTATACAAAACAATAATAATGTGTTTTAGGTTTCAAATATATTTAGAATTAAAATACACAACAATATAACACATAAATCAGGAGGAGGATAAAGAGAGTAATTGTGTTCTATGGTTCGTGTATTGCCTGGAAAGTGGTAAACATATGGGCTGACTGTAAGTTCTGGTTTGCATTAGGCCTCTTATCAGACATAATTAATGATAGGGTGCCGTTTCACTCTCAAAGTGTCCTGTGTTGAATGATAAATTACATTTTCATTCTTTAACAGTATTAATTTTCATTAGAGTTTAATAAATCAAGAAGTCACATTCTAATTTTATGAGTAAACACTAAAAGAATAGTAATATAATTTAAATAATCTAATAAATGGGAAATAAAATTAAAATGATGAAGAAATATTTTAAAAGGGAAGACAGGAGAGAAAAAGGAACATAGGATGTGTACAACTATAAACCAAATAAAAATATGGTGAATTTAAGCCAATATTTATTGGTATTTTGATTAAATGTAAATAAACTATATACTGCAATTCTAAAAGACAAAGCTTGTCAGACTGAATAAAAAGGTCAAATAACTTCTACCTAGAAGTTGCTTACAAATGATATACTATAATTAGACATAGAGATATGTTATAATTAGACATGCATCCCTCAAAATAAAGAGATGTAGGAGAAAGTAGATGAAGCTACACTAATATATAACAAAGTAGATTTTAAGTTAAAAACATTGCTAGAAACAGAAAGGCACATTGTATAATGATAAAATGTTTTATTTACCAGGAAAATATTATCATTCTAAATTTATATGCTCTTAATAAAATATAGAATAAAAATATAAGGTAAAGATGATAGAACTAAAAGAATTATAGAAATGCACAATTATAATGGAAGATAACACACTTTTTTCAGCAAGAGATAAGAAAAAACATGTAAAATTAATAAATTTATAAAAGTTTTAAACAATGCAATGATTAAATTTTGCCTGACCTAGTGAATATTGCATACAGTGATAAAAGAATACACATTATTTTCAAGCATAGATAAAACATTTTTTAAAAAATTGACTGTATGTTGGGCCACAAAACAAATCATTTCAAATCTCAACTTAAAATATGCAGAGCATTTTCTCTGACTATAGTGGAATTAACGTATAAATTAATTACAAAATGATAATTGGAAATCCCCATATGTTTACAAATTAGGCAATGCATTTCTTTTTATTTTATTCTTATTTGTTTTTATTTTTACAGGTTCAGGGGGGTACATGGGCAAGTTCGTTACATGGATATGCTGTGTAATGGTGAAGTTTGGGCTTCTAGTGTACTTATCTCCCTAATAATGAACATTCTACCCAATACGTAATTTTTCAACCCTCATCCCCCTCTACTTCTCCCTCCTTTTGGAGTCCCCAGTCTATTATTTCTCACTGTATGTGCCTATATACCCATTGTTTACCTCCTGCTTTTATGAGTGAGAACATGTATTTGATATTCTATTTTTGAGTTATTTCACTTAGGATAATGCCCTTGAGCTCACTGTGCTGCTGCAAAAGTCATGATTTCATTCTTTTTTATGACTATGTAGTAGTATTCTGAGGGGTAGATATGGCACATTTTCTTTATCCAGTCATCAGTTGATGGACACTTAGGTTGATTCCATGACCTTGCTATCTTGAATAGTGCTGTGATAACCATATGAGTGAAGGGGTCTTTTTGATATAATGATTTCTTTTCCTTTGGGTAGGTACCTAGTAGTGGGATTGCTAGGTTGAATGGTAGTTCTATTTTTAGTTCTCTGAGAAATCTTCATACTCTTTTTCATAGGGATTGTACTAATTTACATTCCCACAAACAATGTGTAACTGTTCACTTTTCTCCACATTCTCACCAACATCTGTTTTTTTTTTGACTTTTTAATAGTAGCCATTTTGACTGGTGTGAGATGGTATCTCATTGTAGTTTTAATTTACATTTCCCTGATATTTAGTGATGTTGAGCACTTTTTGATTTCTTTGTTGGGCATTTGTATATTATCTTTTGAAAAATGATTTGGTCCACTTTTTAATGGAGTTGTTTATTTTTTCTTGATTTCTTGATTTGTTTGAGTTCCTCATAGATTCTGAATATTAGTCTTTTGTTGGATATGTAGCTTGCAGATATTTTCTCCCATTCTGTAGGTTGCCTGTTTACTCTGTTTATTGTTTCTTTTGCTGTACAGAAGCTGTTTAGTTTAATTAAGTCCCAATTGTCAATTTATGTCTGTGTTTGATTGCTTTTGAGGTCTTAGTCATAAATTCTTTGCCTAGGCCAATGTCCAGAAGAGTTTTCCTTGGGTGTTCTTATAGTATTTTTAGAGTTTCATGACTTACATTTGTCTTTAATTCATTTTTTTCTAAATTAATGAAAAACGCATTGGTAATTTCACAGACTTGTGCTGAATATGTAAGTTGCTTTAGGCAGTATGGTCATTTTAGCAATATTAATTCTTCCAATCCATGAGCTTAAGATATTTTTCCATTTGTTTGTGTCATCTATGATTTCTTTCATCAGTATTTTGTAGTTCATCTTGTAGAGATCCTTCACCTCCTTGGTTAAATGTATCCCTAGTATTTTATTTTGTGTGTGTGGCTATTGTAAATGTGATTGAGTTATTGATTTGGTTCCCAGCTTGAATGTTGTTGGTACATAGAAATGAAACTGATTTTTTTACATTAATTTTGTATCCTGAAACTTTATTGAAGACATTTATCAAGTCTAGGAGTCTTTTGGAAGAATCATTAGAGTTTTTCTAAGTATAAAATTATGTTATCAGCAAACAGAAATAATTTGTCTTCCCCTTTTCCAGTTTGAATACCTTTTACTTTTTTCTCTTGCCTGATTGCTCTGGCTAGGATTTTCAGTCATATGTTGAACAGGAGTGGTGGGAGTGAACATCTTTGTCTTTTTCTAGTTCTTAGGGGGAATGCCTTCAACTTTTGCCCATTCAGCATGATGTTAGCTGTTGGTTTGTCTTAGATGGCTCTTATTATTTTGAGATATGTTCCTTCAATGCCTAGTTTTTTGAGGGTTTTTAATCACAAGGGAATGTTGGATTTTAATGCATGCTTTTGCTGCATCTATTGAGATATTCATATGGTTTTTCTTTTTAATTCTGTTTATGTGGTGAATCACATTTATTGATATTCATTCGTTCAACCATTCTTGCATCCCTAGAATAAAACTCATTTGATTGTGATGGATTATACTTTTGATGTACTATTGGTTTTGGTTTGCTAGTATTTTGTTGAAGATTTTTGCATCCATGTTAATTAGGGATACATACTGGCCCTTAGTTTTTGTTGTTGTTGTTGTGTCCTTATCAGATTTTGATGTCATGATGATACTGGTTTCATAGAATGAGTTAGGGAGGAATCCCCTCTATTCATTATTTCGGAATAGTTTTAGTAAAATTGGTACCAGTTCTTCTTAGACCATGCACTTCTAAGTAATCTATGGGTCAAACTAGAAAACACAAAATATAATTTGAAATAAAAAATGATAAAATATTGCATATAATAATTTTAAGATGCAACTAAAGCTATGCTTAACTGGGAGATTATGTTCTTTATTAGGTATTATAATTAAAAAGTGGCAAAAAATGGATGAACTGTACTTCTAATTTGAGAAGCTAAATCAAAAACCAGTTAAGCAAAAAGAAAGCTGAGGATGGGCATAATAAACTGAGAACATAAATTACAGATAGTTATAAAAGAAAAACATAGAAAGTGTCAACAAAGCCAAACATTGTTTTAATAAAAATGACAAATCCTAATGATACTAATCATAAATCAAAATGAGAGAATGCACAAAAAATTAATATGGATGATTTAAAAAGTGACATTATTACAGATAGTACGGACATCACAAAGATAAAAGGAGAAATTACTTGCAAACTCAAGCTATGAGGAAGCATAATATATACCCCCAAAAAACTGACAAGTAGATTTACAAGAGGGAAAATTAAATGCCAATATTTTTCATAAACATGTTCACAAAAACCCCAAACAAAATATTAGTAAACCAAATAGGTTAATGTATAAAAAGGAAAACAAACAGATTTGTGTCTATTTTAGTAATGCAAGATGAACTTAACACTTGGAAATCAATGAAAATTACCACATTGATAGAATAAGTGAGAAAATATAATCATAATAAAGTTAATTTTAATAGTTAACAACTACAAATAACTTAAATATTCACTAAGAATAGAATAGAGAAATAGATTGTACTATAGTCATACAATCTGAATTTACACAGTGAGAATATTAGTAAATTACTTCCATGAAAAAATCACATGGGATAATCTCAACACTAGAATATCAATCAAAAGAAACCAGGCACTTATCTTCCATTTATACAATGTGCAACAACAGACAAAGCTATAGTATTTGAAATGATACTGATAGGTGTCTTCTGTGGTGTTTCTATTTTTTTTTAATTTTCTTGGGATGTGGCTATGTTGGTGTGTAATTTTGTCGTTAGAATAAGAACACTTTCATCTATAAATGTCACACTTCAGTAAAATAGTCTATTTTTTTTAAAAATGGCAGTCTCATAGACTAGTTTACTTCTCATTTGTTTTTGACAGAAACAGCCCTTTGACCCATAGGTTTTTTAACCAGTTAATCTTCTGTTATTGAATTACTCTAATCATATCTATGAAAATGATTAAACTGGTTGATTTAGGTAGGTATGGCCTTAGGGGTGATATTGTATCTTTTCCAATCAACTAAGCATTTTATAAACATAAGATATAGCAATGAGAGCAGTAGATAGGGGAGATTCATATACCATATAGTAATACAAAATTATTCAATAAATTGAATGAATAATACAACAAATACCAATTTTAGGAGGACATTTGTTATTGAAAGGTACTTATCCATCCTTAAATAACTTATGTGTTATTTTGGATGACCTTCAAGCAAAATACACATAATTGAATATTTGTGAATTCAGTGTTGATTTCTGAGCATGGGGGTCCATTAACTATTTCTCAGGAGGTGTTCCAGTTTCTGGACATGAGCACTGATCAGCAGGTCAGTTTATGCAAATCTGTGCACTATTAGCACTCCAGCCACCATTAAAAAAATATTGTGTGTTCTCGTAATAGCAGCACATATAGACATCTTTATTCAAAGGTCTATGTGCTATAACATGCTTTCTATTGAAGTGTTTTCTGTTATGTCTTTTTTTACCCTGTTTTGTGTGTGTGTGTGTGTGATATCAGGGCTGGGGACTAAATAGGTTGACAGTTAAAAACAGCAGGAATAATAGAAATCAAGTATTTGTTCCTTCAAGTAATATTGAATAAATCCTTCTTCTTCTTTAAAAATGACCTTTTTTTTCCTTTTTGTGGCAAAATGAATGCTAATCTTATTTTAGCAGAGAAGAGCAGGTATTGCTTCAGAATTTCAAACTTCTTTATTTATTGTACCAAAGGGCAATTGTTGAGAGCTATTCAGCAGATTGAGCTCAACTCACACCTCCAAACATGAAATGACATCCCTCCAAAGCAATTTCAGTGACACAGAGTCTTTCTGCCCACCAAAGGGAAGTATTTTCTAGGTCACAAGCAGAGACAGGCGTTTATTAGTTTGGGCTTTCAGATCATCTTCCCACTGCCTGGAAATCCCATTAAAGAGTACAGTAGTCCTTTCAGCTTTATGACTGAGGCAAAGATGTACCTGTCTGGAAAGAAGCATGTTTTCAAGATGTCAGTATGCTTGATTTTGTGAGAGATGATGACTGAAGGGAAGACAAGCATTCTTCACAGAGGGAATAAAGCACCTTGAACTTTTTAAGCAATAGCCTTCTTCAAACCATTGAGCATTGCTGACAATTATTTCCCATTTGCCAGAGTACTACAATAATAGTTTATGATATTTTGAAAGTATAAAGCCAGGATCAGAACCTTTGAGATGGAAACTTCAGCCTGCATCAGCAGGGTACATGTTATAATTTACTCCATTTTTCATGACAGTGGTTCTGGAAACTGGCAACAGAGGAAGCTTTGACACTGTCTGCGTAACATAACTGAGGCCTCTCCTCTGAAGCCCACATATCTTTTAAAGATCTATACTGTTTTGAATACAAATCCAACATCATCTTCATCTAAAGAAATTTATAGCAAACAAAGAAAGTTCCTCTAAAGAGAAGATGTTGAGGTGTGACCTAGGGACTAGTATTTTTACCAATGTCATTTTTCATTATAGTTTAGTGACCTAATCCAGACATGGGTTTGTATCCTGGTTCTTCACTTGGTGGCCTTTTCTTAGAAGTGAATGCCCATGTCTTAAGGCTTAGGATTAAGTAAGATCATATTTACAAAATATCTGCCACGCAGTGGGTGCATAATAAATATCAGTTGCTGCTTCTGGTAGCTAGTATGATTTCCTTAAATTGGAAAAAGCCATCAACAATGCGTTTGTGCATGTGAATGAATGTATCCCAAACACCTAAATTCAGACAGAGAGAACTCCAAAATGAGGAAGATCCATTCCCATGGTTTGTGTAAAATTTAAGAAGTCAAAGGTGTAAAAGACATGTTTCTAATTATGCCACTGGCCTTTGTCACAGTAGAGAAGCAGCTAAAAACTTCAGAACAGAAGAGGCAAGGGAAATGCGTACAGTCTGGAGTTTGTGTCAGGAGATCTGGGCTGAATTCTTGGCTTTCCTGCTTAGTGGTTGAATGATTTTGGTAAATCACATAAATCTGTGTGAACCTTCTTTGCTTTATGTCTTAAAAGTGGATGATGACATCTCCTCTGGCTTTCTCACAGGGATGTTGTAAAAATAAAATTGGATAGTATAGGTCTGCATACATATTGTGGTTTGTTTTGTAAGCTGCAGTGGAAACTTTCACGCTGACCACAGTGTGGTAACAGTGAGGGGTTCCTCTCCTTTCCCTGAAGTGAATTGCAGAGTCCTCTTCTCTACTAAAATCTGCTCAGAGACCCAATTTTCTGTATGAAGACCACCATCTCCTTCACCTCCACCCCTAGGTTTCAGGTTTGAGGAACCAGAGCTTTGAGAGGAGAACTCCAGATAGGGAGACGGAGAATCAACTCTATGGTAGTAAGTTCCGCATATTTATTGACCATCTGTCATCCACAGGAACCCCCCGTGTTCCTCTGTTAATGATATGGTACCCAAATCAACTAAAATTCTTTTGTCGGCTTCCCTCAGCGTAGCAAAAAAAAAAAAAAAAAAAGCCCTGTCATTTTCAAAAGAAACTTTAATAAATATATTTTGAACACAGAAACAAAATCACTTAAAAAATACCAATGAAACCAAAACTTTTTTTTCTGAAAATTTATATTAACTCTACAGGGTTGATTGACCTTGTTTATGTTTACTAGAAAATGACACAGACAAATACTGAAGAGGAGCTGTGTACTTTTTCGAATCACAATATCACAACCCCTTCATAATAAAATATTTATTAATTTATAAAGAATTGTGTATGTATGTGTGGTAAGAGGGAGCACGTTCTCTTATAAACCTGTTATTCTTTAAAATTACTGCCCCTTTTCTTCCTTCCACATTTGTCAGAAATCCAGCTCACCTTTACTGATTCACTTCTTCACCACACTTTTGTCCTTAACCTTGACATCTATTTTCTATTGCCAACAATTTTCTGATTCCAGTTTCCTTCAGGTTACCTACAAACTACAAGTTATAAAATCTTGCAGCTTCTTCTCATTCCCTTCAGTAATCTCTCCTTTAGTCAGGATTCTTAGTTGTTTGTGGCAAAAGCCTTACTGTGAAGAGATAGAACAAGGTTAAAAAAAAAAAAAAGACAGGAGGGGGCATTTATTACAGTGATTCTAGGGAAGTGTGCAAATTAAAAGAAAGTAGTAGTAAAAAAAATCAGTCATAGGAAAGCAAGAATCAATGCAGAAATAGGACTCCCTGGGATTTGAGCTGTCAGAAATGTCTCTTGCAATCTCTCTTTACTTCTTTCTGAATATGCTACTGAGGACTAGATTTTCCAAATTATTGAGGAAAAAACCATTAGTCACCACTAGTCACATGTTTCAAACTCATATTTTTACAGCTTTGTCAACCTTAAGGAGAATTCTTCCTCATCCCTTCCTTCCATGTATAGGGGAAGGATTCAAATAAATTGGACTTTGGTTCTATGAGGCTCAGGAGTTGTGGTCAGGGATTGAAGTACCATGTTTGGTCACGTTTGGGACTCTTAGCATACCTGTGTCTCAGGCGAGGGTGGGAATAGTATTAAAATGGATGGCCCCAATTGGAACCACAATTGGTATTGAGAAGCAGATGTTCTCTCATTGCAAGAAGAGGGGAGGAAGTGCTGTTATCTGAGGACAGGAATGTGGGCAACCCAAAACAATGCATATCCACTATAGTCCTCTGAATTTGAATACATTGTTGGCAATCTCCACTTCTTTGGTTTCTTTTTTCTTTTATTTTGAGACAGGGTCTCACTATGTTTTGCAGGCTGGTCTTGAATTCCTGGGCTTAAGGGATTTTTCCCTCCTCAGCCTCCCAAGTAACTGAGACTATAGGTACGCAACACCATGTCCAACTCCACTTTCTTGATTTCTGTGAGATCACACTTCTGGTTAAGCTCCTACTACTCTAATATTCTTTCTGGGTCTTTTTTCCAGGCTTGATTTCCTCTAAATGTAGGCATTCCCTTGTAGTCTATTCTTAGGCCAGTTCTCTTTTCTGTCTAAATACTTCTCTCTTGGAATCCTCATTTACTTTTGTAGCTAGGCAATCCTCCCTACTTAGAGGATTCCAAAATATATCTCTCTATTTTCTTTCTACTAAAAGTCATAGACCTATATTTGGACTATACTCTTAATAGCTAAATATGGGTGAATTCAAAATCAGACTTATCTTCCCACTCTTTTACAGTTCATCATCTATCTTGCTTTCATTTTTACCTATTGACTTCAGAATAAAAGCCAGGAATAGGGGATTGCTGAGAAGTTTGAAGTTTTGATCCATACTCTCAGAGGCAGGAATTGTGAGGAGGCAGCCATTAGGACTACAAAAGGTTACTAAAAGTTTAGAAACTAGCAAACAATAGGCTAAAATCTTTGATCCAATGCTGAAAATTTAGAGCATGTAATCAAGGTAATGGGACACAGGACTCAAGAAAGCATTGTGATTAATATTCTTTTCCAGGGTGGTTTTGGGTTTTCAGGCTGCCTTTGGGTGTGCTTTTCTATGCCCTACAACTTTTTTTATTTATTTTTATTTTTTTTTATGTTTTATTTTTATTATACTTTAAGTTTTAGGGTACATGTGCACAATGTGCCGGTTAGTTACATATGTATACATGTGCCATGTTGGTGTGCTGCACCCATCAACTCGTCATTTAACATTAGGTGTATCTCCTAATGCTATCCCTCCCCCCTGCCCCTACCCCACAACAGGCCCGGGTGTGTAATGTTCCCCTTCCTGTGTCCATGTGTTCTCATTGTTCGATTCCCACCTATGAGTGAGAACATGCGGTGTTTGGTTTTTGTCCTTGCGATAGTTTGCTGAGAATGATGGTTTCCAGCTTTATCCATGTCCCTACAAAGGACATGAACTCATCATTTTTTATGGCTGCATAGTATTCCATGGTGTATATGTGCCACATTTTCTTAATCCAGTCTGTTATTGTTGGACATTTGGCTTGGTTCCAAGTCTTTGCTATTGTGAATAGTGCCGCAATAAACATACTGTAAACTAGTTCAACCATTGTGGAAGTCAGTGTGGTGATTCCTCAGGGATCTTGAACTAGAATTACCATTTGACCCAGCAATCCCATTACTGGGTATATACCCAAAGGATTATACATCATGCTGCTCTAAAGACACGTGCACACGTGTGTTTATTGCCCTACAACTTTTTTAAGGTTCCACATAATATGTTATTTATATCATACTGGTCATCCTGGATCAAAGCTTCCTCCCTCCCCTTTTTTACCTTCTACATAAACTTAACCATCAGCTTCCTTCAGTTTTAGTTCTACAGCACCTCATTCCTGTTTTTTGTTTCTTTTAAAAATTACTGTTGCTATTCCTGTAGTTCAGACCATTTTTATTTTTCTAAACTACTGCAGTAGCTTCTGAATTGGGCTCATTTTCCTGGTCTCTTCCTGGTTCAATCCAACCAGCTTACTGATGATGTAGAAATCTGTTTAAAGCACAGCCCTAATGATGCCAATTATTAGAGAGAAGGAACTGGAATGGGAAGATAAAGGGATATGTAAAGTTGATAGATTATCAGATGTAGACTTTTTGAAATGTAATTTTTGGAGATTTAAAGATTACTTAAGGTAAATGTTCTTAAGAATTTTGGTTGTTTGTGTTTGTGTGGATGGAAAGATAAAATATTTGGCTAACAGAACATCTTAAATGATGTTATCACAGATCTAGCTAATGCCATGTAATTCATCACCTGGAGAATATTGATGAAATGCATTTCTTCCTTGTTATGCTCATCTAATTGTATTAATAAAGCTGCTCAATGAAGAAAAGAGTGGTGATGAAGAGCACAGATTCTAGAGTCAGAAGACTCCATTGCAGTCTTGGCTTTCTAACCTAGTAGATGTGCAACCTTGTAGAATTATTTAATGTCTTTGAGTATCAATTACCTCTGCTATAAAATAAGGATCATTGTGAGGAGTTATTTATTGAATAATTAATATTAAATTATTTTGTTAATGTATTTTGTGGATAATATCAGATAATACATAAAGAGCACACCAAACAGTAAGTAGTACATTAATAGTAATGCTAATAACTAACATTTATTGAGGGATTACTATGTATCAGGTGCTGTTCTAAGCACTGCTCATCAGTAGTGCTTAAGATGGTATGAAATCCTGATAAGATGTTTTACTTAAGATGCCATTATTATTCCTTTTCTTAATACACAAGGAAAATGATGTGCAGAGATGTAATAGCTTGCCCAAAGTCATACAGCTAATATGTAACAGAATTAGAATTCTAAGTGATAGTTACACTTAGTCTGGGATTTTATACATGATGCTACACTACCTCCATGACCATGGTAACCATTTCATACTTTTCACATCTCAAGCATGCAATCATTTTGCATCTCTAGAATGCACTGAGGCTGGAGGTAGGAATAAGCAACTCTCATTCTCATAATTCTTCAATGATCTTCCATTGCCTGTAGAATAAAAAAACCCAATACTTATATAGAGCCTTTGATAATCTTGTTTCATTGACTCTTTTCACCTTTAATTTTTACTGTTTATCAATGGCAACATTTTGCTACACTTAATCTCATCCATTCTGTAAGAGAATCAAGAGTCCACTTTTATGCCATAGCCATTTCTTTAGAGTTAACATGTGTTGGAATACTGAAGCAATACTGAAAAGTCTTACATTTTTGTTAATTATTTTTACAGCAAGCTGGACCAAAGCAAGACTGTGATCTATTGAGAAATAGTTGTGCCTAAAACATCTGCTTACTTCTTAGAGAGCATATTAGATTTAACAGCTCAGTTTTGAAATTTGTTGGAAAGAATCCCAGCATGAAGTTTTAAAGGATCGGCCAGCTGACTAATGCGACAGTAATTTGGGGGAAATTAGAGAATTTACCGTTTAGAAGATTGGGTAGAAAATACTTTTAATTCATCCTGAGGGAATTGTACATGAGGAGTTAATCAGGGTAAATACTTTGGTGGTGACTGTGGTCCACCACTTAGGAAAAGATTCAAACATTTCTGGCAAAAATAGATTTTCTCCTGGGTCACTATTTAGCTTTGGGCTATTGATCAGAGGTTTTAGTGCTGCTGTAGTTATTGAACTACAGATGGGTAGATCCTGCAACCTCAAAAATGCATAGAAATTATCTTTAGAGCTATGTGAACTCGCTGGTTCAGTTACTGATAAAGATGTAGGCTCTTAATTTATCTTATTGAAACTGCACAGTTGATAACACCTCAGGTCTGCACCAGTCATTGCCATTCATGTAAAACTCAGAACCAGCTGTTGCTACATATCAGCATTTGAGTTTTGCTTTTGAGTGGATGATCCGCTTATAAAAGAACTGTATTTAAAATATTGTTAGATATTTTCAGATCGAAGTTTTCAAAGAGAATATCTCATTATGTCCCCTTGAACAGACTGGTCCTCCTGAGTTAGGGAGGTCTGTCTTGTCAAAATACAGCGCTTTGGAAGAAACACAGGTTTAGATACAAGGAAGGGGATTTCTGTAGCGCTTACCAGGGCAGCAGAATCGGCTTTGTTGATGAATGGAACCATGGCTGTTGCAGCTGTTTCTGATCTCCTCTGGCATCCCGTGCTATATGTTTATCACTTGAAATAGCTAGGTGTTCTTTCTCAGGTTTGTGTAGCTTTCTCTCTCTCTTTTTTCACTGAGCTAATAGAATGACCAAAATTTTGATTGTCTAAGTGTCATGAGGCTATAAATAATCTATTGGTATTAAGAAGAAAAACATGCTTAAAAGAAAGAGTAGATTAATGCTATAAATTTCATAGATTTTTAGAAAGCCACCTATAGAATGGGATGACAAATAGAACTAACAACTTGTCTTTGAATTTGTGCATAATTTTGCATTCTATACAGATATCTGATTAGATACAGGGACAACAATATTAGAATGCATTTTTACTTAGCCCTCTCTAAAATGGAATTAAGAAAAAAAGTTCTGGTAATTAGACATTTTCTAAAATTGTTTTCTAAATAATTTTCCTCTAAATAATATGTAATTTAATATGACTCTTTCTGTGTCTGTGTTACTAGGTGCCTTTGAGTCCAAATGGAGAATGGGATTGCTTTTTGCAACCCTTGAACTATTGCTCAAGATGTTGCAAAAGGTCTCCCTCCATCAGCATTTCTTAGGACACTAAATAAAACTGCACATTTCTAAAATCCAACTCAGACATACAGGTTCAGAATTCAAAAGGTGAATCTGGGAAATAAGAATTTTTAACAAGTTTATTAGGAGAGTCTTGTTCTGAAAGCTTGAAACACAACGGAAACACAATATTTTTTAGTTGAAGAGCAATGAATCTCTTTTGGATTGAGAATCTTAATTATGCTTTTGGCAAACTTACAAATAGAAAAGATGACCCCAAGAAGCCCAGAGAAGAAAATATAAGTGATATTGCTTGTGCTGAGCTTGAAGAGAATTCTCTTATTGTGAGGCAGGATTTAGAAGAGAAACTAGCATAGTTTTGAAGTAGCAACTATCCTATTGCCCCTGAATAAATAAAACTCTGTGCTAGATACTAGAGATACAAAGATGACTATAATATCTATTCTCAAAGTGTTTACATTATTTTGGCAGGTTGATCTGAAAACAAATAATGGCTGCAACAGAGTTAGTCACAAGGTCACTCACAAAGGAGTCAGGGAACAGAGAAGGATCTATTAATGAATTCTTGAAGGAAGAGTTGAAATTTTCAGCTTATTGGTAATGGGAGAGTGTAGGCAAAAATACTGACTTTTAGACCAAATGATGATGTGTATAAAATCATAGACATCTGAATCAATAATGTATTTGCTGAACTATAGTTAAATTGATGTGACTGAAGTGTCTAGACCTGTACATTTTATATAGAGGTTTCAAATTCTAGCCACACGATGATTATAATTCAGAGTAGGTTCTGGAAGCATTGTCTAAAGTAAATAGGCCTACAAGAAGGCTTAGTTATGATCTTCCCCTTTATTTTGTAATTATTGCTGAACTATTTTGTAACTATTGCTCTAACTATTCCCCTGTAACTATTTTGACCTCTTTTCTTTATCTGCATACTTTCCCTAAATGACCATATCCTGTCCTATGTCTTTAAATACCAACTCTGCTGAGGACTTCTAATGCATATTGTTAGCATACGCTTCAGATTTGTATCTTATTTCTTAAGGATTTGACATCTTAATGCCATTTGCATCTTAATGACAACATATTTAAGATTTAATTCTTGATTTAACCCTTACAAGCTTATGCCTTCCTCAGTTTTCTCCATCTCAGTCAACAAGTTCCTAAAATCAAAGTCCTAAGGCTCTTTCTTAATTTTTCTCCCCCATCCACTCATCCATCAGTTTTTATCTGCAAAATTTTCTGGAATATAGACTATTCCACGTTGTCTACCTCTTGCCATTGCTCTTTATCACAAGGCCGTCATTTTGAGTACTCCCTTGCTTCTTCCTTACAATCTGATAATCTATATTCTTGCATTAGGAGTTATCTTTATGACATGTAAATCAGAGCACGCGCTCAGGCCTTGAAACGTTTTCTATTTCTTCAGAATAAAAGCAGCTGTTTCCTACGATCTCTAAAGCCCTGACCTAACTTCAGTTTGCTTCTTTTATCTTATCTCATTCTCCTTTTCCATCCTTTATTGAGTTACAGTCATGCTGGCCTTCCCACTTCCCTGATGTGCCAAACTAGGTTCTGCCTCAGGCATTTGCCCTTGCTCATCCCTTTTTCCTGGGATACTTTTCCTTGGATCTGAACAGAAGTGACTTTTTCTCATCATCCAGGTCTCAATTCAAATGTCCTTGTTCCAAAGAGCACTCACCTGATAACTCTATCTAAAATAGCATGTTTAACAACCAGCTTGTTACTCTTCTTCACATTACTGTCTTGTTTTCCTTTATTATATTTATGCTATTTCTAATTATTTTGTTTATTTCCCCCCACTGGAAAGTAAGTTTGTATTAATGGAGCTCTTTCCCTTTTAGTCACAAATGTATTCCTTCTACCTAGAACTGTGTCTGGCATGGGATACACTCCTTTTATAAAGGGAGGTTCCCTTTTAAATATCTGTTGAACAAACAAAAAAGTGAAGGTAATATTTTAACTTAAAAAATGATGAACATATTTTCTTGAATTATACACTGTCCAAAAGACCAGCCACCAGACATATGTGGCTATTTATGTTCACTTTAAAATTAAACTTGAAATTCTAAATTCTGTTTCTCAGCTGCTTTAGCCACAAGTGTTCAATGGCCACATGTGGCTAGTAACTACTATATTACAGTAAGATGGAACACACCATTTTCACAGAAAGTTCTATTAGATACCACTCTATTCTATATAATGAATGTGTAAGCCCAATAATAAAAGAGTAGATGTTAAAGGAAGAAAACTTCTAACCAAGACAGATTATATATATTAAGGAGTAAGTAGAAAGCTATGGGATTTTCATTTTTAGAGCTCTCTTAAATAGGATAAATTCTCATCTACAGAGAAGGCTTTGCAGCCACATAGCCTGAAGGTGGGTCTTTGAGCTTTTGACCTCCCAAAGTCCCTTCTGAATGTATACATAATTATTCTTGCGATTATAATTAAACTTGTATTGTGCTAGCCAAATGCTAAATATTTCACAGAATCTACAGCAGACATGGTCTTTGATCTTAAGGAGTTTTTTCAAGACTCTTTTCAAACTGTGTGTAAGAATATATCACATTTTGTAAGAGCTTTAATGAAAGGATTCATGATGATTGATGATTCTGAGAAAATGTGAGTGACAGAGCCCGGGATTTCAAAGCATTTATGTGTCCTATTTAATTTACAAATTAGAAAAAATTGACTTGTCCTATTTAATTTGCAAAACTTCAGAAACTCGCCAGTTTAAACTACTAACAATTGTAGCCATGTTTTATTAGATCATTACCTAAGGGCTTGTCAGAATTCTAGCAGGCTTGTGTATCTTCTACCTCATTCCCAGATCGCATTAAGTCAGCCTCCCGTGTTAAGGTAACCAGTCAGAGCTCTTTGGAATAGTCCCTGAGACAATATTATAAAGGAGCGTTTTACTGAGTCTGAATACAAATGTATCTGTGGGGCTTGTTTGGTTTCAATTCAAGTCAAGTGACAAGAGAGGACATTGCTTGTCTGAGAAAAATGCGATCACGGTTCAGAGATTTTTTTCTGTTCCATATGCAGTGAGCATGCTGAGAATGGAGCAAAAAGAACAGAGGGATAGAAAACTCTTGGGCTTGGAAAACCAGCTCCAGCCTAACTTTACAGAATGGTGAACCTGCATGTGGCCCCACCTGGAGAAAGGCAGCTTACTTGATATTCAGAGGAATGAAATAGCATCAGAAAAAGTTTTCTCGAGCTGTTTTCATCTTTGTTGGCTTGCAATGTCATCATGTATTTTGGGCAACTAGAGTTTGCATCAGTTCAGTTGACAGGACTTCATGAATTTTAATATGCTAACTCCATATTCATGTTAGTATTGATGCATCCTTGCTCCTTTTTTCTTTCATTTTTTAGTAAAAAGCTGGATTTCTGACAAAAATACAGAGCACTGTCACTCTGTAAAGTGTTGAAACCGTTAATGCAGGTTAAGAGAAAAACTGCATGAGTTTGTGAAATTTGCACCAACAAATTCATAAGCTATAGCTCAGCTTTAATTTTGATGAGTAAAATATAACACACATTTCATCATTCTGCTTCTAGGCTTGTGAATTTGCTTAAATTTGGACTCAACAAAATCTTTTGAAACCCTTCAGTCTTAGGTTTAGACAACCTAGGAGTCAGTCAGGTCACACGAGAGTGTTTAAACTTTGTATGCTTGCAGAAAAACTCTTAATGCATTTTAAAGATTATGTTCACACATAAAAGTTGAATACAAAACTGTAGAACTACTACACAGTTATTTATTGTCCAAGAAGACTGAGTTTGACACTTTGGAATGATGCATTCACATGAGTAACTATGGTTCTCCCAATTTACATATTCAGAGTTGGTATTTGGTCACCTTCATGTTCAGTTACCCAAAGAGGGAACATACAAATTGTAATCTGAGGTGCAGAGAAATGTAGCACAAAAGGGAAAGCTTATGCTAATAGATAAAGATACATAAATTTATGGTTGCATGAAAAAAAGCAGTTCAATCAGTATATTTGTTTTCCCAATTCTGCAGCATATTACTGTGGGAAGACAAGATTTGTTTCTTGAATAGGCAAAGCCAGAACAAATCCCTATTCTTGCTACATAGTAGATGTTATTTAGAGACACAGAAGTATGTAAATAGCTGAAAAGTTGCAGTTGTAGATATAATAATTCAGAAGACATGAACACAGGTGTATCATTGCTCTGCTTGGTATTGTTACATTGTTATCATGTCAAATTCAAGTCCATCCTAGAAAATCCAGACAGAGCTTGTATCCTCTTTCACTGAATTCAGCTAGTTGTTAGATTTCCTGCAGATGGCACCCCCTTAAAAGTTGGCTCACCACCTCAATGTTGCTCTTTTAAAATGTGTTGCTTAAACAGCATTAACAGTGAGAATATAAAACTTCACTTTTTGAATTTTTATTTAGAAAGAATCAGAAGAATTTCTGATTTAGGGGGCAAGAGAATTAAGTTCAAATATTTAACCACATATTAGAGAATATATGAACTTAAATCCTGACTTTCTTCCAAAGAGTTGTATTGGTATATACATTTCCTTAATTTTATTAAATAAAATATTTTTGGCAATGACTTTAGGCATTTGTTCCGAGTGGTCATCTCAATCCCAATGTCAAGGAAAAACAGTATTTCTAAGATCACAGATGACATATTTATGTTGAATAAAGAAAAGCTGAAGAAGCATCTTTCCTTTAGCTCATTACTTCAGGAATGAGAATAGCTTTTATCTGAGACAACGATTCCACATTTATAAGAGTTTAAGCCCATAGGGAGGGGAGATAGTTAGGAAAGGGCAAGGTCAGGTTGCTAAATGATGGAATAAGGTAAGAGTAGCCATAGGACTTTAAAGCTGAGTGGGGCTTTAACAATCATTTGTCTAGTTGAATGTAAGCCCATGATGGTGGGGGCTATCTTACTTATTGTTCTGTTTCCCTAGTAGCTTAGCACAGTGTTGGCAAGAAACAGGAGATTAATAAACATTCGTTGAATAAATAAATACAGCAGTGAGTTATATGGTAGATCCAGTATTCAAATCTAGGCCTTTTGACTTCCAATCTAATTCTTGTTGATGAATCTGTTACTTTTTTCATTTTCACATGCAAACTCTTAGTTACTTGAACACAGTGAAATCAGTCAATGATCTTTACAAGCAACCCCATTTTTAATGGGTGTTATTATTTGAATATGTCTCCCAAATGTCATGTGGTAGAACTGGAATCCTCTAATTTATATGTTGATTGGAGCTAGGGCCTTTGGGAGATACTTGGAATTAGATAAGTTAATCAGGGTGAGTCTCCTATGATGGGACTGCAAGCTTTATAACAAAGGGAAAAGAGACCTGAGCTGACACACATGCTCTTGCTCTCTGGCCAGGTGATGCCCTCCACCATGTTGTGATGTAGTATGAAAGCCCTTGCCAGAAGCTGTCACCATGCCCTTGAACTTCCAGGTCTCTAGAACTGTAAGCAATACATTTCTTTATAAATTACCCAGTTTGTGATATCTGTTTTAGCAATAGAAAATGAACAAAGACAGTAGGATAAATGTTTTCCTGGAAAAGATGAACTCTTGTCACAATAAATCTAACTCATTTTTTAGTAAATTTATGGGAAAACAAAAAGTCATCATTTAATATTCAGTCATAAAAGTCTAAGATCTAGGGTGACCATTTGCTTTCAGTTTGTCTGGGACTTTAGTAGTTTTAGCACTGAGAGTCCCATGTCCCTTGAACCTTCTCAGTCCTAGGCAAATCTGAATGGTTGATCACCCTAACCAGATCCGAAAAGGATATTCTAGGACTGGGAAGGAATCCTGAGGATATAAGAAACCCATAGGAGAAATACGATGCACATTTTTTCAGCATAACAATCTCATGGTAATATTTTGAGAAATAATATAATTTATATATTTACAGATAAACACAAAATGTCAAAGAAATATTCAAGCTATACCTTAGAAGTTTCTGAGGGCCTCTGGCATGTAAAAATTACTTTGGTTGAAAGGTATGAGAAAGTCTGACACCTTGGTTAGGATGGAGGAGTATAGGTAGGTACAACATCTATACAAGGTTATAGAGTTGAAAACTCTCACAGGACTCACTAAGGTCTGCTCGTATAAGGCTTTAACAAAAATAAAGTTTGTGGTGTAGCAAGAGAAAAAAAGTACATGCAGTTACTGAAGGGTCCAAGACTTCCAGGTACAACTCCCCAGGGTCCTTTTTCAACAGGTAAAAAGGATATGTTTATCTGGATCATTAACCACAAATAGATGTGGGAAGTATTTTGGTTTCAAGAGCGATCAGGCACAAATTTATGGAATGGGGGCAGAGGGGGGAATTTGTACTCTGCTAGTGACACAGCTAAAATTAGACTGAGTAACCATTGAAACCAGGTACAATCCATCAAGGTCTTAGTAAATAAGCTAGTAGTTGGTACTTACAGGGAAGTTTCAAACTTTAGACAGTGTACTACGCCTAAAATATCTCATAGTGCACTATTTGAAGTGGATAGTTGGGATAGTTACTGGAGGTTATTCCTTAGTGTTTTCATAATAAGAAGATGAGTTTAAAATGGAGTTGTGATCAACCTCCATAAAATAATGAAATTAACTGGCTTGGAGATTGAATCGCAATGTCTAAAACTAGGAGATAATTTTTAATATCTTAATGTTAATTTCGAATCAATAAAATAAAGTATTACCTTGTTATTTAGGTAGTAAACCTATGAAACTTATTTTTCTATGAGAAGATTTGAGAGGACTATATCAATAGCTTCAAACATGTTTAAGTGACTCATGTTGACCTGAACATGATGAGCTTTTTTTAGGAAATGAGGTTTGCAGATATCCTAGAACTTTCAGATTGATATATACAAGGCTGAGACACCTCTCCACCATAATTCCATAGATGCCCTGATAATTGGCATTCTGCTCAGGGGGTCACACACATTATGGTGATATTTCTCATGTTCTTAATTGAGTCATTCTATCAAGGCTCAAGATTTGAGAGGTGGCAGCTAGAAAATTTGGTAAGCTAGACCGGGCGTGGTGGCTCACGCCTGTAATTCCAGCACTTTGGGAGGCCGAGGCGGCGGATCACGAGGTCAGGAGATCGAGACCATCCTGGCTGACACGGTGAAACCCCGTCTCTAAAAAATACAAAAAATTAGCCGGGCATGGTGGCGGGCGCCTGTAGTCCCAGCTACTCGGGAGGCTGAGGCACGAGAATGGCTTGAATCCAGGAGGCGGAGCTTGCAGTGAGCAGAGATCTCGCCACTGCACTCCAGCCTGGGTGACAAAGCGAGACTCCGTCTCAAAAAAAAAAAAAAAAAAAAAAAAAAGGAAAAAAAGAAAATTTGGTAAGCTAGTCTGTGCTAGTGGGTCAGGTCCCATAATCAGGCCCTACTTACTTATTTTGTCACATTCTCCATTATCCTGCATCCTGTATACCTATCCCCTGTTTGTCCACACTGAGCTAGTTACTGTTTTCTGATCTTTCAGATCCTTTGACGATAGGGTTCCCTCAACGTGTCCTTGCCTTTAATGGTGGGGTTCCCTCTACTTGGAAAACTGACAAAATTCAGGCATTTGTTGTCTTTCTCTTAATTTTTGCGTTTTTTCTTTTTGTGGGTCAAAATCACATACCAATGGGTCTATTGTAGATGCTCATAAATATTTGCTAAATAAATGATGGAGTATTAATGCATTTACCTCCTGATACACATATATGTATTTCAGTGGAATAACGCCTTTACACATATGAATGGTCCAAATATATTGTTTAATTAAGGAGGAGAAAAACATTTCTCTTTAGATGTAGCCTCACACTAAGCTTCAAATTGCACCCTCATGGGAGATTTGCTTCACACAGTTGCCCTACTCACTTCCCATATTGATGTTTAGGAGAATCTGGTGGTCTTGAGTCACACCCAGATCTAGATGTACCCACATCTAGCATCATGGAAAGTGTGTAAAAAAGAGACAGAAATAGACTCCAGTACATAATAAGTATAATTTAACAATCTAGAAAGTAGTAGTGAAAAACGGTCATTTCTAAAGAGTGTTGTACATATATGTGCATGTTATTTTCCAAACTCAGGTGAAAAAGTAAATAAAATAGAACCATAAAATTATAAATTTAAGTACTTACAATGTAAAATGAGATAAGTAAAAAAATACAGAGTAAAATATTATTTCAGTTTTAATTTAAAATTTGTTTTTGGTCCTAGGTATCATTTATAGTTTTTCTTTCAAAAAAACTCATAAGAATATATTCATTTCAATTAAATAATATATTAGTTTATTAATGGCCATATTTAAGCAAAGAAGTATGACACATTTCATAAAAACAAAACAACACAAAACAAAAACAATGCATTTTCTCCCTTATAATCATATTAGTTCATTCACATAGAAACTTCTGTGCAGCAACTGATTTTTTTTCAAAAAAGCTTTTTATCCAGATGTAGTACACACTGGACTGGACATTTTAAAAGGATATGGAGGTTATTTTCAGCTCAGCCCAGTTAATTTTAAAATGAATTTGTTCAAGTATTCTTTCATCCTTTTCTTTTTGCAGACAACTTACCTTTGAGCATCAGCCATGTGGACATCTTTTTGTAATGATGAAACAGCCCCCCAGCATTTGAAGTTAATTATACTAGTATAACTTTAGCTTGGTTTCAGTTTTGTTTCTTACTAATTCATTTTTTTGGAGGGGAAGGTGGGGAAGTTGGCAAATTCTTTTGGTTATTTTATAGTCCTGTTTTCTAAACCATAGTGAGTGTTACAATCCTTGAAAAATCAGTGATTCTTTCATTGCTTGCCCCCATGGCTAAATTCTGCCAGGATCCTCTCAGTAGACACAATCCTTTGAATTTAAATTTGGACTTGGTGTCACCTGTTATGCTTATAGCTCTTCTTAGTCCCCTCTCTCTCCATATAACTATAGACAACAGTTATGAATCAATCATAATCAATTAAGTTTTTTGTTTTTCTCCTAGTTCATCACAAAGAAAGGCATATGTCCTACAAAGCTTTAATCTCTGTGAATTATGGGAAGGAGAGCAACTGGGTACAGGGGAGGTCTTCTGGCATGTTGGTATATCAGACAGAAGCCTGATGTTGAAGCAAGAAAAATCCTGCATCGGCTAAATTGGTGCAATGAAAAAACAAAAACAAATGTTTATTATATTTCTGAACAGAAAAGTAACATATCATCATCATTGAACATTCAAAAAATATAAGAGAATAGTAAGAATATAAAATCATCATTCCACCAAGAATGTTAATATTTTTAAAGATCTTTATATATTACAAAATTGAAACCATGTTATATTTAGTTTGCTTCTTTTTTCCTATTATAGCATCCTAATAATTATTAATGTAATTTTGAATAGCTATATATTCCTTGTGTCTGTGGTCTGTAATAACCTGGAATTATCTTAATGGAAAATTTGGAGGCCACGTCCACTCTTAGAATTTAATTTTCTATCTTGCTGAATATATATCTGTTTATTTTTTTTCTGTGAATTTTAATTCCTTCAATTGCAAAGTGTGGCCAGTGAGCTGTTCAGTACGGTGCACAAGTAGTGGTCAGTGAGCTGTTCAGTACAGTGTAGTTCACAGGATACCTAAGGAAGCATTGATCCAGAAGGAGTGTGACAACTTCCTAGGAAAGAGCTCCGGCAACTTGCCAAAAGTCACTCAGTAGGTGGTGGAGTCAGACTTTTGAAATAGCAGTTCTTGTTCCTAAAACTTTTATTCTCTACACTATGCCACATTGTAAATCAAAGAATAAACCTTCCAGCTCAGAGCATATACAAGGGGCGAGGGAAGAAAAAGAAATTAGAAATGTGTAATGGAGAAACTAATGATTGGGTGTTTTGTAAGACGTTCCATGGTTTTTATTTTTCCCTTCAAATGGAGGATTTGATCAGAGAATCCATCAAGAAAAAGATCAGCCTTTATTAAAGCCGTTTGTGTATGCCTAGTCTCAAGTTTCCTTCACTAATACCAGGTTGGCTAGATATGCTAGTTACTTGAAAAACAAATTAGTGGCTACATCAATAGAGCACTTGTCTTAGACAACGAGTATTTTTGTTTAAGGAAGATTGATCTTACATTAATTTTCTCTGTTATTTTTCCTACAAATCCTTTTGTGCCAGATTTGTCTTTCAAAATTTATTTGATTGATCATTAGGGAAACCGGGAAACTTGTCAAAATTCAGATTCCTGGGCCTTATCTCAGACTGAACTTAAAACTGTAGGAGTAAGGGAACATGATTCTTCACTTTTAAAAAGTTCTGTAGGAGTCTATAATGATCAGTCTAAAACATAAGACAAAAAAGCTGTTTGATCATGCTGAGGGAAAGGGCTTTATTATAATTACAATTAATATTGGTCATTTCTTTATGAATACTTACATAAGCCTAATGTATTTTATCTATGTAATCTTATGCATCAGAAATATAGATTAAAACAATACTATATCTCTACAGATGAGAAAATTAATAATCAGATAATTTAAGTTAGATTAAAATTTAAAAAATAAAATAATGACACATAAACACACAATACAAAGAAGGTAGAACGCAGATGTAGGGTTCTAATTAGAGTGTGAGTAATTTCAAAGCTCACTACACATAATCGTGGCCAGAAAAGTCAGACAGAGTTCTGAGACTGTTTTTTGTTGTTGTTTTATCTTGACAATGAACTCCCAAGAAATGTTTTGAATTGCCAAGGATAATTTTGACTGAAAATCTTATCATAACTAGTCTAGAATTTTTGGCTCTCATGCACAAAGCCATACCTGCAGTGACTTGGATAACATGAAAAGGCTATAAAACAGACAATATGGTAAAGGAACTCTCACGTATTGTTATTCCAAGAATCACACCAATCTTTTCTGTACATTGCAGATAGACCATAAGCACAATTAAAACTTGACAATCTGTGATTGCTAAATTTGCCTTTATTATCCACACCCAGAGTTGTGTCCTTTGTGGATAAGTGTAATGACACTGGCATATATAATCTCTGATGTTTCTACTCATGGCACTTAGTCACTGTAAAAGGTATTTCAAGGGTATGCTGAAAATAGGACTCCACGTCAAATGTGTTAACTAATGTGAGCTTCTGAGTCTCAGTTTGGTTTGGACTGCTCTTCTGAAGCAATTTCTGAACAGGGCAGTATTTTAAAGTCATGAAATCCTCCAGAGTCAAGAAACAATGCATTACAAATCTGCATGAAAAGGTAACTAGATGAGAGCTGAATGTAATTCTTTTGTAGCAGGCAGGGCAAATTATAGCAAGGTGCCGCTGCAGCAAGTTTTTGAACAAATCCATAAAAAAAAAAAAAAAAAACTCAACTGAAGATGACATTGCAGCTGAGACTTGGCCAAAGGCCGTATTTCGAAGCCCAGGAAAAGCCATATATTTCTCACCTTCAAACACGGCAGTTTAATTGATGATCTCCCTTTGTTTCTTTCTGTTTTCATTCTCCTTACCCCTACCATTACTCTCATTATATGCCTTAGATGATAAATTGTCAGTGTTTACGAATTTTCTTATATGATCCAAATTTCATTACTTGACCCACAGCGTAAATCACCTTTATTGAGTATAGTCCTTGATCATTCTGCTTAAATTCATAGTTTGTTGGCATAGCCCTGGAAATGGTATCCAGAAATTGCACATCTCCCTTCCTACTCTCATACACAAATTTACTCTACCCACACCCACACATCCAGGCATATGCATTTGTAAATGTTTCAAAAGTTGCACTTCTCTTTCAGCTTCTTTTTATTTTTATGTCACCCACTCCCCTTACCATCTCAACTGTTTCTCATCTCAGAGAGCTAAGAGGCCACAAACCCAGAGACAGCAAATCATGTCAGACACTGTCTAGGTCTGATATTCAGGAAAACTACATTATTTGGCTGGATCTCTTGACTAGGGGTGTAAAATTGGGCAACTCGTGTTATTTTTGCAACATCATTTTTTTTTTCAAAAAGAAACAACAAACAAGCTTATATCTGAAATCCTAGATACAAATGACTTCATAAGTAATAACATATTTTTAATGACTAAAATAACAAAACAACCTGATGTAAGAAATTAGCAAGTCCTGGGAACTGCAGAAGAGTTGAAAATTGTATGCCCAGTATAAAAACAAAAAATGTAGGGCCCAAATTAAACAAGGAAGCAAACAAGTAAAACAATACCACAGTATCTGCTTCCTGAAACAGCAGTGCGCGGCCGCTGTTAGATCATCTCTCTCTCTCTATTTCCCACTGCTAGAATTATATGACCTTCTAGTGTGAAAATCCTCCTCAGAAATAATTTCCAACAATAGCCGAAGGTAAAGAAGAAAGACAAACAATGGCATTAAATTATTTTTAGGCTTCCTAATTCAGACCTCATACTCTGGACCTAATGACAGCCCAATAATAAGGAACGGTAGTATTAATGAAAGGCACAGGCTTGAGAGCCAGACATAGTTCCCACTCAGGAAGAATAAGCTTTGTTAACATCATGTTAGAGATAATGAATTCATCGACTTTTGAAGAAAAAAACAAGATACGTTCAGGGCAAACTATATGTACACTGTATAATGAGAATCATATACCACTGGTTACTTAGTTAAACATAAATCATTTACAAAAACTAGCAAATAACATGCAAAAGATTATCACTTATAAAATTGGTGAAAACCTTTAGCTAAGAAGGATAAGGTAAATGTTTCTGGCCCACCCCAATCCTCTCAGCTGTTCTTCAGGAGCCAGCTCAGTTTTTTCAGTGAACCACAATATTTTATGTCACTCCAGCCAATGTGGAGGTTTTGCTTCCTTGTGTTAATTTTGTCTTGTTTTTTTCCCTGTGTTTTTCAAAGTTCAGAGTAAGAAATACGTCTTCATAATTGTGTTTGAAGGAAGTTGAAGTGTTGAAAATACCAGCTTCCCACTTGTTTCCCCTTAAATAAATATTTAGATCTGAATGCAAGGTGTTCTGAGTCACAGAACAGCACTCTTCTTGTGTTACTTTTGACTACTTCAGAAAATAAATTTAACTTTCAGATTGGAGTCTAACCTTCAATTCAGTTCGCCACATATTTTGTGCCAAGAATGAATATAGAAGTAGAAATTAAATATAGAAGGAAAAATGAGCACATTCTTACTCTTGAGGGAGTATATTCATTTTCAGAATGTAGACACATACAATAGATAATTTCAGTACAAGGTGATAAGTACAATAATACAAGTCTCCAAGGTGACTTAACGGTTCAGAGTAGAAACAACTCACCCAAACTGGAGTTGGGGGTTAGAGGACATACAAATTTTCTGAATGTTAAGTATTTTGATTGTCTTACAGAGTGATAAGCAATGAGCTGGAAGTGGAGATATTCAAAAGCTAAGTGTGTTCAGAAAATTTCAAGTATTCTATATTTCTTTAGTATAATATATGATTCAGAGAATACTGAAATAAGGGCTTGGGAAGAAAACGTTGGTAACAAAGGGACTTGTACACTATACTAAAAAATTTAGACTTTGACCACTAGACCAAGGGGAGCCATTAAATGTTGTAATCTATCATTATGATAGATTTGAATGGCATAACATGGAACTGGGAAAAGAGTTAAGAGGCTACTGTAGTACAAAATAGAGAAGAGATACTTAAAAACCAAAAAAAAAAAAAAAAAAAAAGAAGAATAGTTAAGACCTAGTTGGGATTAAATTAAATAAGACAGCCTAAGTGATTGATTGGATCTTGGGAGTAAAATAAAGGAAACAGTTGAGGCTAAATTTTAGATACACGTTTTGTAAGATTGAGTTGATGGTAATAATATCAAGTAGGGTTAGAAAATCATATAAGGAATATGCTTTGGCAAGGAAGAAAATAAAGAAACAATAGATTCTGTACACGTTGAGGCTGTGATACACATAGGACAACTAGGAGGAGAGTATAGCAGGGAGTAGGATTTAGAGTCACAACTTGTGGAAGAAAAAAGCCCAGAACTATAAAGTGAAGAATCAAATGAAAACCATGAATACAGATGAGACAATCCAAGAAGATCATACTGTAAGGAGCATGAGTACCATGGGGGGAAAAATGGAAAAGAGGGCTAGGAAAGACATGGAGGTAACAGGAAGCCAAAGGAAAGTATTAACCATTCAATTCTGGTTGAACATAAAAAGGATAATTTGTCATGAACGGGTAGTGTTTATCCCAGAAATGCAAAGTGGGTTTTACTTTTGAAAATCAATGTGATTCACCATATTTACATCATACAACAATCCTATGATCTTTGCAATGAATACAGAATATTTAGCAAGATCTGGCATCAATTGATGATAAAAACTCTCAGCAAATTAGGGAGAGAGGGGAACTTCCTCAAACTAACAAAAGACATTATGAAAAATCTATAATTATTATCAAACTTAGTTTCAAAAGACTAATTCTCCCCTAAAATCAGGTACAAAGTAAGGCTATCTACTCTTACCATTTCTAGTTAACATTGTATTGGAAGTCTTAACCAGTGCAGTAAGACAAGAAAAATAAATAACATTATGCAAATTGAAAGGAAGGAATGAAACTGTCTTTATTTGCAGATGACATTAGCACATATATAGGAACTCATAAGAAATATACACAACATACTAGAACTAATAAGTCAGTGTAGCAGTATTACAAGTCATAAGGTCAATATACAAAAGATCCTTACATTTTTATACAGAAAATTATTGAAAATTGAATTTTAAAAGTTCCATTTACAAGAGTACCAAAATGCATTAAATATATGGAGATTTGTTTATAAAACGTGTGCACCACCTGTATAAAACATTTAAGGTAATTTAAAGATTTAAATAAATAGAGAGATATACTATGTTATTGAATTGAAAGATTTGATATCTGATATAAGTAAGATATTAGCTCTCCCCAAATTGTTCTACAGATTTCATGCAGTCTCATTAAAATTTTCACTTAAATGACTCAGCAGTTTGGTCACTTTGTATGTTAATAAACATTTAATGCATATTCTAAAAAATTTTATAGAAATTCACAAAAACCTAAAATAATCAAAACAGTTTTGAAAGAGGAAAAAAAAGTTGGAAGACACACACTACCTGGTTTCAAGACTTACTGTATAACTGCAATTATCAAGTTGATGTTCCATTATCCATCTATTAAAATTAAATGGAATATAGGGTCTAGAAATAGGCTCATTATAAACGGTTGATTTATTTTTGTTCTGCTCTTTGAAGGACACTGTTAAAATAAATATTTACACTTAGTACTGGGAAAAAATATTCACAATATGTATATACAAAAAATGACTTTGTAAGGAATACATTAGGACAAAATATACCTCGATAATAAGACAAGATCTACCTCAAGAAAAAATATACATAAATAATGGGACAAAAATTAATTTTAAAGTGAAAAAATATTTATATTAATGCTTCACAAAAGAAAATACAAAAATAGCCAATAAGTAGGGAAAAGGAGATGGAAAAATGGCCAATAAAAAGATGTTCGACATCTTTAATCATCACGGAAATGAAAATTAAAATCATAGACAGTAGTACACATCTATTTAAAAGACTGGCAATACCAAGAGTTGGAGAGGATTTGGAGCAACTGGAGGTCTCATATATTGTTGATTTAAATGTAACATGGTACAACTGCTTGGGACCATTTTAGCAGTTTCTTAAAACATGTGTTCACTGAGATAACTCAGCAATCCAGTTCCTAGGTATTTAATCAAGAAAAATAAAAGCATAGATCCATACAAAGACTTATATTTAAATATTCATAGCAAATATATTCATAATAGCTAAAATTGGAAATAACCAAAATATCAATTGATAAGTGAAAGACACATTATAGTATATCCATGTAATGAAATACTACTCATCAGTTAAAAAGGAATGAACTATAGACATACACAACATGAACACATCTCAAAAATATTATGTTGAGCAAAAGAAGCCATGCACAGCACATTATTTCATATATGTAATGTGAAATTTTTAGAATAGTCAAAATGAATTTATAGTGACAGAAAGCAAATTGGTGGCTGCTGAGAGGTTATGTGGATTAGTGACTGCAAAAGGACATAAGAAAACTTTATGTATTGATGGAAATTTTTTATATATTGACTGTCAAATGCATCAGTCTTCACACTTGAAATGTATACATTTTATTGTACCTCATACAATTTATTAGAAAAAATAAAATATATATATTATTAATGTAGAGATAGAAGAGTTTGAAATGTTTAAAAGCTGTTGTCAAAACACCAATGGAAAGAAAAAATTGAAGATCCTGGAGGAGATGAATTAAGTAGATTAATGGAGTAGTGCCTTCTGTTGAAAACTGATTTTTACACTGGTCAAATTCCACTGCTTGTGGAATTTTAATGTTAGAAACTAATACCTTGAATTGGACACCATTAAGTGTCAAATTTCAGTTCCACCGTTGACTTCAGTTTCTCTTCCCTTTAGGGTATTTATTTAGCTCTCTGTTAAGTCTTGGCTTAATAAATCTCTTTACTTAGAAAAGAATGTATGAAATAACTCAGATTATTGAAGAAATATCATGGACATTATTAAATATTTAAATTTTAAAAATTGTAATAGAAATATCAAAATATACTTTGTAAAACATTTAAAATTGTGACGTGTATAAAAGTCTAAAAGGGACAATTTTATTTCAAGGTTTTTAATAATAAAATATATGCTAGAATCTAGCTTATTATTTAACTAACAATAAAATGTCTTCACACTTTTCTATTTTCCTGGCTTCATGAAATAATGTGTAACCTAGAAAAATATATCTTTCTGAGTATAAAAAATTTTTGTCAAAATGATTTTCTTTAAAAAAAAAAGCTGTGTTTCTACCTTCAGGCTGTTTAAGTAGAAATTCATTTTGAAACAGAACATTAGAACATCTAATTAAGACATTACAAGAGAAAATAAAGTTATATAATAAAAATACTGCAATTAAACCTGCCTAATTTCAAATTCCAAGGTCATAAATATGTTCCTTTAATTAAAAGCCTTAGCCAAAAATGCCACAAAAGAACACCCATTAAATGGTGCTGTAAATAGAAATTGAGATATGAGGAGTCTGAGAAGCCTAGTATTAAAGGCAGGGACCCAGATTTTAAGCCACAGCTGGTGTAATCAATAAATACTTGAAGCAACAGTCATTAAAGAGAGTGCTAAATGATAACACTGTAAAACAGCCTCAATGTCACATTTATGTAATAGGGATTCATCTTCTAGAGGCCTTCTAATGACTATTTGTATGCTGTCCAAGTAGATAACCTTACACAAATGAAATGCAGTGGCTATTATAAAAATATTGCAACACATTCAGGGAAAATAGGTTCAAATGCCGTATTCTCTAACACACACAACAGAAAACATGCAAAAAAAAACACAAGATATAAATTTATCAGAACTGATTCACATATTAGGTAGGACAATAATTTTTTTTTTTTTTAGGGTGGAGAGTTGAGGATTTATTTCAAAGGGGCACATGGTAACTTCTGGGGTGATGGAAATTTTCAGTGTCTTTTTTTATTATTATTATACTTTAAGTTTTAGGATACATGTGCACAACATGCAGGTTTGTTACATATGTATACATGTGCCATGTTGGTGTGCTGCACCCATTAACTCGTCATTTAGCATTAGGTATATCTCCTAATCCTATCCCTCCCCCCTCCCCCCACCCCACAACAATCCCTGGTGTGTGATGTTCCCCTTCCTGTGTCCATGTGTTCTCATTGTTCAATTTCCACCTATGAGTGAGAACATGCAGTGTTTGTTTTTTTGTCCTTGTGGTAGTTTGCTGAGAATGATGGTTTCCAGCTTCATCCATGTCCCTACAAAGGACATGAACTCATCCTCTTTTATGGCTGCATAGTATTCCATGGTGTATATGTGCCACATTTTCTTAATCCAGTCTATCATTATTGGACATTTGGGTTGGTTCCAAGTCTTTGCTATTGTGAATAGTGCCGCAATAAACATACATATGCATGTGTCTTTATAGCAGCATGATTTATAATCCTTTGGGTATATACACAGTAATGGGATGGCTGGGTCAAATGGTATTTCTAGTTCTAGGTCCCTGAGGAATCACCACACCGACTTCCACAATGGTTGAACTAGTTTACAGTCCCACCAACAGTGTAAAAGTATTCCTATTTCTCCACATCCTCTCCAGCACCTGTTGTTTCCTGACTTTTTAATGATTGCCATTCTAACTGGTGCGAGATGGTATCTCATTGTGGTTTTGATTTGCATTTCTCCGATGGCCAGTGATGATGAGCATTTTTTCATGTATTTTTTGGCTGCATAAATATCTTCTTTTGAGAAGTGTCTGTTCATATCCTTCGCCCACTTTGTGATGGGGTTGTTTGTTTTTTCTTGTAAATTTGTTTGAGTTCATTGTAGATTCTGGATATTAGCCCTTTGTCCGATGAGTAGGTTGCAAAAATTTTCTCCCATTCCTTAGGTTGCTTGTTCACTCTGATGGTGGTTTCTTTTGCTGTGCAGAAGCTCTTTAGTTTAATTAGATCCCATTTGTCAATTTTGGCTTTTGTTGCCATTGCTTTTGGTGTTTTAGACATGAAGTCCTTGCTGATGCCTGTGTCCTGAATGGTATTGCCTAGGTTTTCTTCTAGGGTTTTTATGGTTTTAGGTCTAACATGTAAGTCTTTAATCCATCTTGAATTAATTTTTGTATAAGGTGTAAGGAAGGGATCCAGTTTCAGCTTTCTACATATGGCTAGCCAGTTTTCCCAGCACCATTTATTAAATAGGGAATCCTTTCCCCATTGCTTGTTTTTCTCAGGTTTGTCAAAGATCAGATAGTTGTAGATATGCGGCATTATTTCTGAGGGCTCTGTTCTGTTCCATTGATCTATACCTCTGTTTTGGTACCAGTACCATGCTGTTTTGGTTACTGTAGCCTTGTAGGATAGTTTGAAGTCAGGTAGCATGATGCCTCCAGCTTTGTTCTTTTGGCTTAGGATTGCCTTGGCGATGCAGGCTCTTTTTTGGTTCCATATGAACTTTAAAGTAGTTTTTTCCAATTCTGTGAAGAAAGTCATTGGTAGCTTGATGGGGATGGCATTGAATCTATAAATTACTTTGGGCAGTATGGCCATTTTCACTATATTGATTATTCCTACCCATGAGCATGGAATGTTCTTCCATTTGTTTGTATCCTTTTTTATTTCATTGAGCAGTGGTTTGTAGTTCTCCTTGAAGAGGTCCTTCATATCCCTTGTAAGTTGGATTCCTAGGTATTTTATTCTCTTTGAAGCAATTGTGAATGGGAGTTCACTCATGATTTGGCTGTCTGTTTGTCTGTTATTGGTGTATAAGAATGCTTGTGATTTTTGCACATTGATTTTGTATCCTGAGACTTTGCTGAAGTTGCTTATCAGCTTAAGGAGATTTTGGGCTGAGACAATGGGGTTTTCTAAATATACAATCATGTCATCTGCAAACAGAGACAATTTGATTTCCTCTCTTCCTATTAAAATACCCTTTATTTCTTTCTCTTACCTAATTGCCCTGGTCGGAACTTCCAATACTACGTTAAATAGGAGTGGTGAGAGAGGACATACTTGTCTTGTGCCAGTTTTTTCTTCACTCCCTCCCCACAATGTAAAGACACACACCCACACACACACACGTATGTTCATGCATATATTCTCATATCTACACCCACTTTTCCTTAGCGAATTCCAGCACTTTCAAGCAGGCTCTTGTTATCAGTTTTTTGAGGAAATATTTTCTGGCATCTTTCTCACGATGTCTCTTCTCACTTGCAAAGATAATCAGGTGTACTGTCTTTATTTCACAGCAGACTGTCCAATTTCTAAAAGAGTATTTACTGCATGATGTCGTAATTGACTTTCTTTGTTGTTTATCTTCTCTAACAAATATAATGTTTGAAAACTAGAGCCATGTCTTCATTTTCTGAATCCTATTGTCTGGCACACTGTTTAACATACACTAGGTGATAAATGCAGATGAATGGATGTATGAATAAGTGAAGTACCAAGGAAACATAACAGGATGAGTGACAAATACTATAAGAATGTTAATAAAAACTATGATGTAAAAGGATGAGTGATATTAAAGAATTTATTAAGCAAAAGAATTTCACACTATTAATCCAGAATGAGACACAAACCATCTGTTGAGTAATTTAATTATACATTCTAGCCGGCATCACATATCTGTAACACTGTAAATGATAAGATCCTATAAGCATTCTCCTAGGTTTTAGACTCCTTCAATGTTGGTGTCTCTTAATTACACTGTTGTTTCTGCAGAAGATAATGATGGAAATAATGGAAGACAAGAAGTTAAGAAATTACATATAACGAAAGTACTAATCAAGTCAATTAATTAAAGATTTCTCAAAAATTTAAACAGACATGCAAAAGGTATGTAGATTAACAGGAGTCTGAGAATTTTTCTTATATACAATAAATTTTTAAAATATTAAGAAGTAAAATGATGAAAGGTAATAATTATAACATAAGGATATTAGTAATACTCCATATTTTTTTATTGAGAGCTTATGACATGCCAAAAACTGTTCTTAGAAAAGTTTTTAGACTTTATTAGAAATCAAGTGAAAATGAATTGCAGTTTTTGTTGCCAATTGAATTATGTATTATTTATTAAATCATAAGATTAATAGAGTGGATTCTGGAATTGGTTCATTTGGCCTCAATTGTGGGCTCACCATTCATTCAATGGGTGAATTTGAGCAGATTATTTAACGTCTCAGAACCTCAGTTTGTTTCCTCGTTAGGAAAGTAGTATCATAGGGATATGAGGATTCCATGCATTAATACAAATAAAACCATCAGGAGAGTGTCTTTACACATAAAAGATTAGTAAATATTGTTATTATTATTCCTATATCTTCCACCAGCAGAGTAACATACTTTCCCATGGTATTTGTGGGCTATAAAATATAATGTCTGACTTAGCAGGCAGCTTTCATTGCAGCCAAGTGGAAGAGGAAGGTAAGATATCAATAAAGAACATCACAAAGTTTAGTTAACAACATCAAAAATTGAGAGCAGATATCAGATTCTACTGGCTTATTTTGAAACACAAGTTCTCTGCTTAAAGTACATAATAAAAAATAATGCATAAATGCCTATTTTTTCTTATTGTAAAATTACACGCTTATTACAGAAAACATGAACAATATGATGTATAAAGGAAAGTTACTTGTATCTGACTATACAGTGTTAACCACTCAGAATCTTTGTGCAGGTATTCTCTGTTACATTATCTGCCTCTAATAATTTATATGTTTAAAAGCTCTCACATCCATAATTTTAGTTATTCAGAAAGTCTCAGAACATATGCCGTAAGTTTGTGGTTTGTGTATGTGCATGTGTGAAGGAAGATGGTTGGGACAAATGAAGTTCTTAATAGAGATTCATGTTACTTTTTCATTTGTAGGTAGCGGTGGGTTGGATAGCTTGAAAACGACCACCAAATATTTAAATCCTTAGAAAAAATTTGCTTATCTAAATAAGTTATGTAGGAGAAATCTATATTAGTATACATCTTTCCATCTAGTCATATTATCTTATATAACTGGGATCAAACTGTCTTTTAATTTTGTTTCCCTGTTTTCTCCTCTAACATTTCCTTAAGTATTTCCTTCTTTTCAATTAAAAAACAGCTCTTTATAAGCATAACTTTAAATAGCTTCACTAAAGACCATACTGTACTGTGAAACTGAACATATAGGCTCTATGAGTCTAGAGCCCGGAATCTGTGATATCTGATATGCCCAGCCTTCACAAATCTCATATGCCTGTGTGACTTAGTCCTACAAAAATCTACCACTTCCTCAATGGTGGGATATCAGCAGAAAGGTAATATTAATGAATTTAATAATAACCATTTTAGGGCCACCAGGCATAAAAAATAGAGAAAAAGATAAATTTTATCACACCATTATCTATACCAGATAAATTCTCAACAAATGCATCTGGCTTGTAAATATTTAATCAGGTAGAATGACTGTGCTGATTATCTCAGTGATACTATTTGTGATGGTTAATATTGCGGGTCATCTTGATTGGATTGAAGAATGCAAACTGTTGTTCCTGGGTGTTTTTGTGAGGGTGTTGCCAAAGGAGATTAACATTTGAGACAGTGGACTGGGAGAGGAAGACCCACCCTCAAGCTGGGTGGGCACCATCTAATCAGCTGCCAGCGTGGCTAGGATAAAAGCAGACAAAGGAACGTGGAAGGACTAGACTGGCCTGAGTCTTCTGGCCTCCATCTTTCTCTCATGCTGGATGATTCCTGCCTTCAAAACATTGGACTCCACATGTAACCACCAAGGGGTTCACCTTTCCTGCTACCTAGACAGAGTCAATTTATCAAGACAGGGGAATTGCAATAAAGAAAGGGTAATTCACGCAGAGCCAGCTGTTTAGGAGACTGGAGTTTTATTATTACTCAAATCATTTTCCCTGAGCGTTCCGGGAGCAGAGTTTTTAAGGACAACTTGATGGATAGGGGGAAGCCAGTGAGCCAGGAGTGCTGATTGCTTAGGGATGAAATCACAGGGAGTCGAAGCTGTCTTCTTGCCATAGAGTCAGTTTCTGGGTGGGAGCCACAAGATCGGATGAGCCAGTTTATTGATCTGGGTGGTGCGAGCTGATCCATCAAGTGCAGGGTCTGAAAAATATCTCAAACACTGATCTTAGGAGTAGCTTAGGGAGGGTCAGAATCTTGTAGCCAGCCTCCAGCTGCATGACTCCTAAATCATAATTTCTAATCTTTTGGCTAATGTTAGTCCTACAAAAGCAATCTAGTCCCCAGGCAAGAAGAAGGTCTACTTTGGGAAAGGGCTGTTACCATCTTTGTTTTAAACTATAAACTATAAACTAAGTTTCTCCCAAAGTTAGTTCAGCCTACTACCAGAAGCAAGATGGAGTTGGTTAAGTCAGATCTCTTTCACTGTTTCAGTCATAATTTCGCAAAGGCCGTTTCACAACTTCTTCAGCTTTTGAACTCTTGGACCTGCAATAGTGGTTTGCCAGGGGCTCTCAGGCCTTCGGTCACACACTGAAGGCTGCACTGTCAGCTTCCCTACTTTTGAGATTTTGGGACTCAGACTGGCTTTCTTGCTCCTCAGCTTGCAGATGGCCTATTGTGGGACTTCACCTTGTGATCGTGAGTCAGTACTCCTTAATAAACTCCCTTTCATATATACATCTTTCCTATTAGTCCTGTCCCTCTAGAGAACTCTGAGTAACAGAGTATTTTACTTAGTTCTCTGACTTTCTAAAGCAGGGGTGTGAAGAGAGAGGGGTGAGTTGTCTAATTAAATGTAGTGCTGGGAAACCTGAAGGCTACTTTACTCATTTCTTTCAACTCTTCTGTACTTTAGAAATCATTAAAGCTGAGAAGACCGCATGGAGATCTTGATGTATTGGTGGTGACAATGAAAAAACAAGAATAGCAAGAAGAAATAACAAAAGTAGCAGTAAAAAATGAAGCCAGTCTGCTTTGGAGAGATTCTTTATGTATACTGTGTGGCTATGGAATAACTTATTTTTTCAATTTTTTAAATAGTATAGGATATATGTGTCATTTAAAATTTTTCTTCATTAAAAATAATGATGTGATGACTCTATTAATGCTTAAATTTTGTTTGCATTATGAGTTATCTCTTAGAATTGAATACACTAAGAAGATCTTAGCATGTGTTAAAAAATGATGATCCAGAGTATTTGTGCCATTTTTTGCTCCTCCACAAAATTAGGAGAGTGTATTAGTCCATTTTCATGCTGCTGATAAAGATATACCCAAGACTGGGGGAAAAAAAAGAGGTTTAACTGGACTTACAGTTCCACATGGCAGGAGGCAAAAGGCACTTCTAACATGGCAGTGACAAGAGAAAAAGAGAAAGAAGCAAAAGCAGAAACCCCTGATAAACCCATCAGATCTTGTGAGCCTTATTCACTACCATGAAGACAGTATGGGGGGAAACCATCCCCATGATTCAAATTATCTCCCACCATGTTCCTCCCACAGCACATGAGAATTATGGGAATACAATTAAAAATGAGATTTGGGTAGGGACACAGAGCCAAACCATAAGATTCTGCCCCTGGCACCTCCCAACCTCATATCCTCATATTTCAAAACACATCATGCCTTCCCAACAGTCCCCAAAGTCTTAACTCATTTCAGCATTAACCCAAAAGTTCACAGTCCAAAGTCTTATCTGACATAATGCAAGTCCCTTCCACCTATGAGCCTGTAAAATCAAAAGCAAGCTAGTTACTTCCTAGATACAGTGGGGGTACAGGCATTGGGTAAATACAGCCATTCCAAATGGGAGAAATTGGCCAAAACAAAGTGGTTACAGGGCCCATTTAAGTCCGAAATCCAGGGAGGTAGTCAAATTTTAAAGCTCCAAAATGATCTCCTTTGACTCCAGGTCTACATCCGGGTCATGCTGATGTAAGAGGTGGTTTCCCATGGCCTTGGGCAGCTGCACACCTGGAGCTTTACAGGGTACAGCCTCCCTCCCAACTGCTTTCACTGGCTGGCATGGAGTGTCTGCAACTTTTCCAGGCACACGGTGCAAGCTGTTGGTGGATCTGCCATTCTGGGGTCTGGAAGACAATGGCCCTCTTCTCACAGCTACACTAGGCAGTGTCGCAGTAGGGACTCTGTGTGGGGGCTCCCACCTCACATTTCCCTTCTGCACTGTGCTAGCAGAGGTTCTCCATGAGGGCCCTGCCCCTGTAGCAACTTTTGCCTGGGCATCCAGGCATTTCCATATATCTTCTGAAATCTAGGAAGAGGTCCCCAAACCTCAGTTCTTGATTTCTGTGCACCTTCAGGCTCAACACTACTTGGAAACTGCAAAGACTTGGGGGCTTGTACCCTCTGAAGCCACAGCCTGAGCTCTACATTGGCACCTTTCAGCGATGGCTGGAGCGGCTGGGACATAGGACACCAAATCCCTAGGCAGCACACAGCACCGGGACCCTGGGCTAAGGCCCACGAAACCACTTTTTCTTCTTGCGCCTCCAGGCCTGTGATGGGAGGAGCTGCCATGAAGGTCTCTGACATGGCCTGATGACATTTTCCCCATAGTCTTGAGGATTAACATTAGGCTCCTTGCCACTTACGCAAATTTCTGCAGGCGGCTTGAATTTTTTCTTAAAAAATGGGTTTTTCTTTTCTACTGCATTGTCAGGCTGCAAATTTTCTGAACTTTTATGCTCTGTTTCCCTTTTAAAATGGAATGTGTTTAACAGCACCCAAGTCAGCTTTTGAATGCTTTGCTGCTTAGAAATTTTTCCACCAGATACCCTAAATGATCTCTCTCAAGTTCAAAGTTTCACAAATCTCCAGGGCAGGGGCAAAATACTGCCAATCTCTTTGCTAAAACATAACAAGAATCAACTTTGCTCCAGTTCCCAACAAGCCTCATTTCCGTCTGAGACCACCTCATCCTGGACTTTATTGTTCATATCACTATCAGCATTATTGTCAAAGCCATTCAGCAAGACTCTAGAAGGTTCCAAACTTTCCCACATTTTCCTGTCTTCTTCTGAGCCCTCCAAACTGTTTCAGCCTCTGCCTGTTACGCAGTTCCAAAATGGCTTCCACATTTTTGGGTATCTTTTCAGCAACGCCCCACTGTACTGGTACCAATTTACTGTATTAGTCCATTTTCACACTGGTGATACAGACATACCCTAGACTGGGGGGAAAAAGAGTTTTAAATGTATTTATAGTTCCACTTGGCTGGGGAGGCCTCAGAATCATGGCGGGAGGCAAAAGGCACTTCTATCATGGCAGAGGCAAGAGAAAGTGAGAAAGAAGCAAAAGCGGAAACCCCTGATAAACCCATCAGATCTTGTGAGACTTACTCACTACCATGAGGACAGTATGGAGGAAACCGCCTGCATATTAAAATTATCTCCCACCAGGTTCCTCCCACAGCACATGGGAATTATGGGAATACAATTCAAAATGAGGTTTGGTTGGGGACACAGAGCCAAACCATATCAGAGAGTGTCTATTTCTTCATGCCTCAAAGAGAGATGGGGCATGGAGAAGAGGGCCACCATCCTCCAGACCCCATAATGGTAGATCCACGGACAGCTTGCAGTGTGTGCCTAGAAAAGCTGCAGACACTCAACACCAGCCTGTGAAAGCAGCCAAGAGGGAGGCTGTACCCTTCAAAGCCACAAGGGCAGAGCAGCCCAAGGCCATGGGAACCCACCTCTTACATCAGCGTGACCTGGTTGTAGACCTGGAGTCAAAGGAGATCATTTTGGATCTTTAAAATTTGACTGCTTCACTAGAAACTTTTCTGTTTTTGAAAAACAGAAAAGTACAACAAATTTAAATCATATATGAAGGATAATCAAATAGGCATTAAACATTAAGATGTAAAACTAGTAAACATTTCACACACAAATATCAGAGTAAGTTTTTACAAATAGACTTGAATAGGATATTAATGATTTTAACAACAGAGGGAACAAGAGGAAGGTACAGAAATTATTTGGGATATTTACTTAATGAAGTGCTCCTTAAAATTAATGCAAAATTCCAATTTATGAGTAACTGAAGGACTTGAAAAAAAAATGAATAGCTTCCTGAGGGTAAAAGGGCCCTGGATTGGCAGAAATGCAGATATTGATAAATGCTAAGGGAGTTAGGAAAACAAGCCAGAAAGTATCATAGCAATGTAATATATGATTATTGTATTGTGAATTCCCATCATTAGATCACAAATTATTTGAGAAATAATCTGTTAGTATACATCTGTGACAGAAAATCATAATGGAAGATGTCATTTTACTGGTGGCCCAGTTTGTGTTATGAAGGCATTTGTTATTAACTGAGTAGTTTTCCAAGTAGTTCTGAATGCCAGTGAGGAATAATTTCTACTATCATTTTTTACACTAAATAAAAACTAGTAAATTTTATCATATGTTAATGAGATTGGACAAAAGCAGTACTAAGGAGCTGAGCAGTTAAATCAGCTTCTAAAAATAAGCACTACAGTAGATAATAAATTTTATAATATTGTCCCATCTACTTACTATAAACATGTGTGGCGCAGGTTCTAAGTTTATGAATAATGGCTTCATTTTGAAGTAATTAGGATTCAATGCCATTAACAGCAGGATGTCTGGATAATTATATTTTAGAATGAAATGTCTAAGAAAAGGCATTTCTGTTCTTATGACAATTATGTGTGTGATTAATGGTATAAATGACAATATCCAATATACATACAGAACAGCAAAAATTAACCGTATCTATCATGAGTGACAGTATGAAAATTAGATGAAATCAATAATCACAAGTAAGGGATGGCTTTGTTAATATTGTTGTGTTCTCCAAGGCAGGGCCAATTGAGGTAGCGGTGAGGGGGAGGAGTACAGATGGGACTTTTGCCATTCTATCTGGAGTCTCAGTGAAGACAAATCAGTATATATCAATTATGTGCATTGTCTAAATGTTCCACAATCTAAAGGATGCTTGAGTGCCAAAGGAACATCTGAGGATCCAATTGTGAAAATTGCCATAAGCAACCCTTTCAGCAGGAAAATTCAGTTCTAGGATTTTTCGTATTTTTAGAGTAATGTACCCAGGGACATCTCCCTGTGAAATGAGACAGTGGAACTGTTCTAAGGCAAAGTGCACAGCCTCAGGCTTCTGCCTCAGGGATCAGGACATTTACCTCTGTAGTGAGAAACCTGCAGGACTCCAAAGCCAATGAAATGCACTCAGTTTTTCTTTTTTTCCTTTTTGACATATTTGGCTTTTCTTCACTTCTGTCCTTCACAAATACACACGTGCACACACAGGCACATAGAAATATTTGAGGGTTTTTTGTTGTGGTTTAGTCTTACTTATTACAAGACTTTCTAAAGACTTTCATAAACTCTATTTTCATTTTTAAAAAAACTTTCCTTAGAGGTGTCTTATTTATTCTGCCTTGCAAACCTCATGTATATATCTCACTATATCTACACAATAGACACCTATCCATGTCTTTATGCTAAGTACTTTTTCCATTCTTATTTCTTTACCATGTTATTATTACTATTTCCCAGGGTCTTTAAAAGCAGCTTAATGTTTAAAAAATGTAAAACGTAGATAGAGAATAGTATATTACTATATTCTTATTCTTCAGCTTAAATGATTCTGAATTCATTACCTTCCTTACTAACCTTCCTCTGGATTATTTTGATGCAAAATCTAGGCTTTATATCATTTCACCCCTAAATATAGTAGCATATATCTTTAAAATATAAGAATTGTCACTTAAAACATAGTCATGGTATAATTATCTAACATATTCTGTCCAATCAACCCCTGATTTTTCCATTCTGTTCTTAAACCAAATTTGCTGCTTCATAGTTCTAACTGCATCATTAAACAAATAAACATGTTTTTGCCCTCATCCTCTTGTCCTTAAAATAAAATCCTTTTTTTTTCCCTAAGGATCACCTGTTTCAACTATTTGTTACTTAAACTTACATTTTTGATGATCTCAAATTCTTCACTTTTCTTTGAGAAGCATCATTTTATTTTGCTGTAGAAAATAATGTAGAAAATGGCCAGAGAGAAGGAAAGATGCACTCCACAAAGCAGAAGTAGTATCAGCAAAGAAACAGAAGCCTATAAAGTGCATTTTGAGTTCAGTTAAGTCCAGCAATTTCCATATGGCCAGAGCCCAGGGAGGCTGGTAGATATTAACAGAGTATAAGGATGTAAAAGAAAGCAGAATTCCAACCTGTGTGTCATGCATGCATGCTTCAGCTCTTTCTAAAAGGGTGTAAAAACTGAGGGATTTATGCAGGAAGATAACCTGATAAGAATAGAATTTTACTGAGACTCGTAAAAGACAATGTGGAAAATACATTTGCAACTACACAAGTCAGCAGCCTATCCCAGCATTTAAAGTGAGAGACACTAGGGACTTGGCAATACCCTAGGCCATCCTAAGGTAATGACAACGAAGAGGGACAAATTTCAGATAGTTGACACTGAAAGAAATTGATGGAATAAAAGAAGAGAAATCTTTGATGACTTTAGATTTTGGTTTTACCTCAAGTTTGAACTAACTGAATAGATTTTGATGCAATTCAATGTATGGAACATAGAAAAACAGATTAAGGTAGGGGTATTGGGAAAGGAGGCAATGAAAGTTTGGGACTTTAGCTTGGGACATATTGAGCTGGGAGATCCTGTGGCATGTATTTAAGGTGAAATATGTAGTAGGCAGTGAAACCAATCCAGCATAGGATTGAAATCTGTACTGAGGAATTAGATCCAAGTTAATCCTGTTCAGTTGATGTGGAAGCCTTGAGAATGCACCTGGAAGAACAGTAGGAGGTCAGAACAGTAGAGATTTGAAGTCCATTGACCAGGTTGAGGCCATGTCCACCAGGGAGGCTCCCTGCCAATGACTGAGTGCGAGGGTGCAGCATGAACCAGATGGCAGACCTGCTCCTGCCAGTGCCGGAACTCCTTTGTTGGCCAAAGGACTCCCTTAAGGGCTTTGTCAAAACCTTCATCCCTAAGGACATGTCAGTCTGGGAACCTTCCATCCAAGCCTCTCTCCCAGCCTTCTCTGCTTTCTTGTTACACATTCCAACTCTTCCCACACCCTCGCATTTCCCCTAAAAAATCTTTACTTATTTAAACCCATCTTGCTGGCATCTGTTTCTCAGAGGACTCTGACTAATGCAGTGGGTGACTGAACTTATAATGGTGTTGTAGAGCTTGTTAAAAAAACATTGACCATCCCTTGTTCAGAGTTGGTCAATGTTTTTGAGGGATCAGCAGAAGGGGAGCATTGTATAGAGGTTCTGAAAGATGTAAGACCTAAAAGGAAAGCCTTTAGTCTAGGCATTGCTTAGCATAGAGATAGAAGACCAAATCTTTGTCCTCGGATGATCCCCCATCCGTGTATGGTTCCTTGGATGCGTGGTTAGTCCCATCATGTCTCTCACTTTAATTACCATTTTCCAGTAGTCAAAATACAAGCCGTAAGTGGTATCTTTTCCTAAAATGCTCTTATTTTAATATAAACCACCAATTCTTCCCCACCCACTAAATTATTTCAGCTGGGCTCTCTGGAATGACTACTGTTGATTAAGTCAATCCCCTTATATGTTCATCTTGTTTGTCGAATGTTCCTTTTTGCTTCCTTCCTTAACGGAAAAATCTCAAAGGAAAGACATCATAGCTCTTTAAGGTTAACATTTCTAATAAATACCACTGGCTATTGGTTAATGACCATTTATTCTGTGCTAGGTATTGTTACTTGCTTGGTATACTTTATTTTATATTATTGATCTTTCAATAATCCAGTAAGATAATTAATGCATCCATCTTTAACAGATGGGTAAAACTTCCTAAAGTCTCTTGAATGGAAAGCAGCAGAGTCAAATGCAAATAAACTGATTCAGGGCCAGGGACCTCTGAGCCCTTCACTACCATTTCCATGTTCTCCAGCATTCCACATGCCATGGAGTCTGCAGAAAGGATTGGTATTGTGATGGTTCTGTGATTCTTCCTTCCTCTTGAAAAGATCCTTCCTTCTCTGAGATTCATTCCTCATCTACCAAACTTGGTTGAGAATTTTGGTTTCTTGTCCGTGGTATCTGTGTCTCCTCATGTCCTATCAATTTTCTAGGGACAATGTGGCTTATTATTCACAACCTTGGTCTCGAGTTTTTGTGGCTTCTTGGAGCCAAGCAATATTGAATTCAAATACCCTTTGGCAAAGAGTTCTAACAGACACTCTCTGGATCTTTCCCTCACTTTAACTGCACTTGCTTTGGAAAAGTAAACCATAATCATTAATCATAATTATTGATATATCTTATTTTCTCATTCCTAACATGCCTACTGCTTGCATTCATCAAAATTTTTAGAATATGGTTCATTCCATTCTTCCAGTCTATGGCTCCTCTATTAGTTTTACTCTCGTTTCCAAGTAGATGTTTTAGCTATTCTTCTTTTATACAACCGCTCTTTAAGATGTTCATCTGTGTATAAAGTCTACCTGACTTAAAGGGCTAAGTCAAAATATCACCAACAGATATTATCATTATTATTTTTTACAATCTGTTATTAGTGTCCTAGTAGAAGAGAGTGATATGAAACAAATGGTGTATCAAGAATCACATTCTGTGGTCAAGCAACACTTCTTAATTTAACTATTTAAGACAGTGAAGGGAAGAAGGAAGATAAATTAATATATTCTAAATAGTTTCTAACACATTATTGTTTTTAAATACAGTGAAATAATAATTACCACAATTTCAACAGACTCACCAGGTCTTTATAAATTATAAAAGTTTTACTAGTAAAAATATACTCCCATATACATGCTATATACATATGTGTATGGTCGTGTGTCTATATATTATATTAGCTTGTCTAATCTACCGTCAGTTTGCCATGGATTAAGGTAACTATAATAGGTTACAAGGATATTCAGGTAAAAGCTCTGTGTTGAGAACCACTGGTTGTCATTAAGAAAAGCTAACTTGGCTTTTTTACTAAGAGACTTTACATTTTACATACCAGCTGGTATATTTGCCATGGTCCAGGGTCTGGACTTCATTTGTGTGTGTCAGTAAGTTCGATCTTTCAGCTTTTAGAGTATATCCATTTCACTGATAGATGCCCATTAACTAAGTTCATAAAGCTGATGCATAAAAGTCACTTTATTAATTAAAAATAGCATAATTGTAGTAAAAGAACAAGCCAAATTATAATCAGAATATTATATTCCATATTGCTAAATATAGAATGAAATGAAAAAGGATATTAGTGAAAGGATTTATTTAATAGCATCTGTTTATTGTATCTTTTTTTTTTTTTTGCTTTTAATTTTTTTAATTTTTAAAAATATAGGAATACTTTTAAATTAGAATACTCCTATGAATGTGAGAATAATTTCATGTTTGAAGGAGTATCTTCTCATATTTTTTTGATGACCTAAAGAAATTTAGTGTTTTCCATGAACTTTGTGAATACTTACAGCTTCCTCATCTGAGACTGACTTTCCAAAGAATGAAATCTCAGCCATTTTTTATTGGTATTTGTCATTTACTCTGGCCATCTGATTTGTTGCTAAATATACACATTTGCATTTCATAATCTTCTCTTTTCTCTTCCTTTTTCCTTGTCAGTCCTTAACATCCCATCAATATCTGTTTTCTTCATCTATTCAGTTAATCATGACAAGTCCTTGCCAAATCCTATTGGTGCTTTCCCCAGCATAGGTTTCCAGGACAAGAGTTCTTAATTTACATAATTTTGAATCATTTCTAAGATCTTTAATTTTTTCATTTTTCATCTCTTTAAATGTTAATTTGTTTCTGATCATTCCTATAAGTCCTTAGGAGTCTATGTCAGTTTAGCTGTCCCTTACACATATGTTTTACAGTTTTTGACTCTGAGCCTATATTGGACAATCTTAAAATCTGGGAGTATTTTAAAAGGCTTAACTAAGGGTGAGTCATTACAGAGAGGATCCGTATTTGTTTTTTCCAGACAGTATGGCACATTACCAACCCGGGCCAACTTTATGTTAATTTCTTGGCTTCTGGTTTTTTTTTTTTTGGGGGGCATCAGAACTATAATTTTAATAGTTTTTATAGTAAGCATTACTGAGCAGTTGACACTTAATAAAGAGATATCATCTCACACCAGTTAGAATGGCAATCATTAAAAAGTCAGGAAACAACAGGTGCTGGAGAGGATGTGGAGGAATAGGAACACTTTTACACTGTTGGTGGGACTGTAAACTAGTTCAACCATTGTGGAAGTCAGTGTGGCGATTCCTCAGGGATCTAGAACTAGAAATACCATTTGACCCAGCCATCCCATTACTGGGTATATACCCAAAGGACTATAAATCATGCTGCTATAAAGACACATGCACACGTATGTTTATTGCGGCACTATTCACAATAGCAAAGACTTGGAACCAACCCAAATGTCCAACAATGATAGACTGGATTAAGAAAATGTGGCACATATACACCATGGAATACTATGCAGCCATAAAAAATGATGAGTTCATATCCTTTGTAGGGACATGGATGAAATTGGAAACCATCATTCTCAGTAAACTATCGCAAGAACAAAAAACCAAACACCGCATATTCTCACTCATAGGTGGGAATTGAACAATGAGATCACATGGACACAGGAAGGGGAATATCACACTCTGGGGACTGTGGTGGGGTCGGGGGAGCGGGGAGGGATAGCATTGGGAGATATACCTAATGCTAGATGACACATTAGTGGGTGCAGTGCACCAGCATGGCACATGTATACATATGCAACTAACCTGCACAATGTGCACATGTACCCTAAAACTTAGAGTATAATAAAAAAAAAATAAATAAAATAAAAAAAAAAAGAAAAAAAAAAAAAAAAAGAAAATTGCAGCAGTACTTCCACACAGCTTTATGTGGCTCGCAGATAGTCGTTGAGTGCAGGAATAATCTAAATATTGTTTATTGTATCTTAATGCATCTGCCTCCACAAAGGGCATCAGGAACTGAGTTGTTTGGTTCTGAGCCAAGACACTGTCTTCCCTGCAGTGTCTGAATGAGTACTATTAACATTTCCCTCTGTGAATTCCTGGTTTTTACATTTTTATTGCTGTTCAAACCTATCTCTTTCCCATCAAAGGAATTTTTCTTTAAACATGATAATATAACATAAATGTCAGCCACAGAATCCCTGCCCATGGAGATCTAGGTAAAACTGCCTGTTAAATTCCTAATTCTAGAGCTTCTTGGAGTCCATAGCCTTTCCCAAGATTTCTGTATGTTCTCAGAGGATAGTTATTATTTTAGTTATTCCTCTGTCATTACATTCCTGCTTCTTCTCCTTCATGCATTTATTCAGACGTGATAGTCTGTCCTTTATAAATTTTTACATACATATACACATCCCTACTTACAGAAAACATTAATGATTACAGTAGGCAGATTATGCCGATGCATCGTGTGTCAAAGGGAGGCTTCATACCAGTATGTTTGTTATGTGCTCCTTAAATAAATCTCTAGGCTGGGCACAGTGGCTGACTGGTGAGCCACCACTTCCCAGCACTTTGGGATGCTTGGGAGGGTGGATCGCCTTATCCCAGGAGTTCGAGACCAGCGTAGGCAACATGGTGAAACTCCATCTCTACAAAAAATACAAAAATTAGCTGGGCTTGGTACTCATGCTTGTAGTCTCAACTAGCTGGGAGGCTGAGGTGGAAGAATCACTTGAGCTCGGGAGGCAGAGGTTACAGTGGGCTGAGATCTGGTGCCACTGCATTCCAACCTGTGTGACAGAGTGAGACTCTGTCTCATAAATAAATAAATAAATAAATAAATCTCTATTAGACACTCTGTCTCCCAGAATTACTTGTAGTCAACTGTCATTATGGTTTTCTCTCTGGATCTTCCTCTGCAGGCAGGGTCGACCTCACGTCCTTCTTGTACTCCTCTTTCTTCCTTCTTCACATCCTGTTACTTACCTCTCTTTTTCTACACTGTTCTCCATCTTCCAAATTCTTCTTTCTTTGTCCTGCAGAGGATAAATGCTGTATCTCATTTTTCTAAACTTGAGCTCTCCAGACTTTCAGGAAGCCTGTGATATGAAAGTGTTCTTTATTTACAGGATTTCTCCTAATAAAGCAATTGTATTTTTTAAATGACAATCTAAAAAGTTACTTCTTATAGTGTCAAATCTTGAGGAACTGGGAACTTTTTGGTTTTCAAGATGACATCATACTTCCGTTATGTGTTAACCTTATCAATTTACTTTCAGAGAGAAATATTATACCCAAGTTTTTGCTAGACATTTTCCATTTACACCTGCGTATCACCTACAGTTTGAACCCTATTATCAAAACTTAAAAAGACATTGTCATCATTTTGACATCTGGAAGTTTAAGCTATATTTATCCATTTGTATAACTATTTGGCCTCTATGCATGGGAATGTTGAATCTAATCAGAATAATTTAAAAATTCTAACTGTAGTATAAAGAATTTCAAAATGCAGAAAACTGCCATCCAAATCAATCAAAAGCCTTTTGAAGTTTTAATGCTTCAAGTTTTTTTAAAATTTCTAATGGTCTGAAAAAAACTTCAAATAAATATGCCCAGAGAATCATCTTTAGTTAATTGATTTACAATTTAATGACTTCTAAAGGGTCGTGTTGCTTTATTCACAGCAACAATTTTACTTTCACTTATTTGCATAATTTTTTCTTAGTTGCTAGCTGTTACTCAAGTTTTAAAATTATGATAATACTAGACCATCTATTTAAATACTAGAAATGTAGAAGTTTCAAGAAGCCCTAAAGAGATTTTCTCACTGCAACATAAGCTGGACAGGTCAGTATCTTAACTTCTTTTTGTTTTATTATTGTTTTCCTGAAGGTGTCTTGGGCTAAAAGCTATAAAACACTTAGGAATTCAGAGTCCTTAGTCTCACTTCTCTAACACTTGCTACCAAAACCCCACCAGCTAAAATAAATTTGTGTGTTCTGGTCCCTTTTTCATACTTGAAAGCCATGGTGGAATCTAAAACAACAGAGAAGAAGCAATGACATAGTGCAATCAATTTGTAAGTTGTTAGAGAAAATTTTTTAATTATTCAGTGTCTTTTGCTATAAATCCATAGACCATGTCTAGAGTAGCGACTATGTCATACTTTACGGGCTCAAGCCAGTCTTCCTGGGTTGAAATCCTACATTTGCTGTTTACCAACTGTTCAAGTTGAGTTAACTAAGCAAAATCTTTTGTGTCTTAGTTTTCGCCCGTAAAACAGAGATAATTCTGATAACTACTTCATAAATTTGTGATGAAGATGGAATGATCTGATATATGTAAAGAGCTTAGCAAAATGCCTAGCATGTAGTAAGCACTATACATATAGTAGCTATTATTTGTTTTTCAGTTGTTAATATAATGGGTGCTTATTGATATCTGTTGCACTCATACTTTTAAAAATTACACACTTAAAAGATCTGAATATGCCATAGGGCACATTTCCACAGTTCAGTAGAGGGAAGTTTACAGTTATGCAATAAACCAAACCAGGGAAGCCCGACTATATCTCAATATAGTAATCAATAATGCCTAAAAGAAGGTTGCCAATAATTTAGGATTCCTGGTTATCCTTATTTTCTATCATGATAAAAAAGAAGTAACCAAGAAAGCTAAGTCATTTTTTAGGAAGCAGTTCAGTAGAACATGCTATTAGCATAGGATTTAGCACCAGAAAGTACAAATACAATATACATATGTTTGTGGTAGTGAAATAGGAGTCACTTATACACAGGGTGATCGTATAATTTGTTATGAAAAATGTGACAATTTTAATGAGTGACAGAGTATATTTCATTATGGACTTATTGATCCAGGTCTTGGACACTGTCAAACATTCATCCACAATATTTTTCCAATATTATTTATAATAACAAGTTGGGTACATAGGGAGGTATAATACTTCTGTTTGTCTAAGTACAGGGAATTATCTGGGCGTGAGAGGATAATATATTCATTATTCCACCATGAGATACTAACTATAGGTACTCTGAAAAGAGTTGATGTATTTCCAAAGGAAGCCTACCACTCTTAGGCCTTGAGAATGGTAAGTAATGTTATTATGCAAAACTTAGAATTTACACTTGATGTCTCAGAGCTGCAAACCCAGCATATATCCACCTGGTTAAATGGAATAATGGCACTTCAAGCTGTGCAGGAAAATGGTTTTCTCAGAAACCTCATTCTCGGAGGCTGTGATTATAGAATTTGATTTGGTTTTAGCAATTCACAGTCACTGCCTCCATAACTGACAGCCCAAACTACTTATCAAAAGACAGTTTTTATGAGGAGACCATAGTGATAACCAATCCATGAACTGTGCTACAGGCTATTGGGGATTATGGTTTTGGCTCATTCTCCAGTAAAAGAATGCATAAAAGAGAGAAGATAATCACTGTACTTTAATAATTAAAGAAAAATGACATCTAGAGATATTCATTAATTCATTCATATAGAGGTTATTGAAAAGATAAATTTTCCTTTTCTTTTGAAATTCTTTTATTTATATATGTGTATGTATATATCTATGTATATACTTTATTGAAATATTTATAATTATATTATTTGTGTATAGTTACTATTCTAGTAATAGGAATTACATAGAAAATATAATCTAGTAATCTCTTACTATAAGAGAATAGGAAGCTCTTTGAGGGTAGGGGCTAGATAAATATATAAAAATAATCTTTTGTCCTAAGCATGGTGCTTACTTCATAGTAGGTGGTGAATATGTCTATTGATTAAATGTACAGATTGTATTAGCATCATTTTAGTAGTATGGGCTTATGAAATATGTACACTTCTCTGAAGGTATCCTGTACTGTGAATAAATTAGCTGTGGCATGCTTAGAGAGAAAGCAGTGATGGAGTGCAGGCTTCTTTGATCCCAGGTTTGTAAGGGTTATGAAGCAGGGATGCAGTGTGGAGAACACTTATGCCCTTCTAACACCAGTCTGTGATGTATCTGAAAAGTTCATACTCACTCAACAGATTAGTCCAGGAAGTAAGACTTTTCTTACTCATGAATTAGTTCTTCCTGTTATATTTTACTCTGTGCTCCAAAGTTTCCTAAATATTTCTCTATGAGCCCTCAAAAATCATTACACCTCCCATAGCATGGTCTTCTTCTAGACTATAAACTATTTTTAAGATATCTTCTTTCCTGATAATTAACTTATAAGGTTTAACTTCTATGATTAGGCTAGAAAGACTACTTAGAGGTAAGCTATTTTTAAAAACACAAACAAATAATACCATTTTACTGAACACCAAATTAATTCCAGGCAGTTATTTTCTGTACCTAAATTAACAAACAAGTGGAAGTTTATTCAGCAAAATACCAAGTGAATCATTAGAGGCCAAACATATCTATTTTTAAAGCTATTGAACTCGGTATAATAACAAACTACTCTCTAAGTCAAGTCATAACTGAACATATACCTCATTTGGTCCAAGCTTCTAATAATTAGTGGGACTTAAATCTTCCTGGCATATTTCAGAATGTTTAATCACAAGCATCCAGTATTTATAGCACTTATTTTCATTCAGCCTCCGCCTCTTTGGTTTCATTAGCATGCATTACTCTCCAGGAGATTTGGGCTGAGTTTATAGGAGCATTGCCAAATGAGTTAGGATCAAAATATTTAATACATTCAATTACTGTTGCTTATACAGTCAGGCCACATGGTTGGGTCCTGGAAACACCTTTTCTTTAACATGCTGTGATGACATGGCTGTCCTGGATTTTTTTAAATTCATTCTGGATTGTGAAGTGACATTTAAAAGGGAAATATACTCAGCATTGAGAATAAAACTGAAAATTAGTAAATAATAGCTTAAGTTATATAGATGAATAAAATAAAGACCTAAATATTTAATATAAAGAAATAAATATAAACACATGTATTAGAGTTCACTGTCTTTGTGTTGCACAGTCTAGAGTTACCCAGGGAAGGATTGAACTCAGATGGCCCAGGCAAAGTCAGAGAGTAACTGAATGGCATACTTTCCTCTCTCAGTTGACTTCTCCTTCACTCAGCACAAGTTCTCTACCTTTCAATTCTTCTTTTTCAGGGTTCTGGCAATCTCAAAATATAGATTGAGCATTGTGAATCCAAAAATATGAAGTTTGTAATGCTTCAAAATTCTAACTTTTTGAGCACCAACCTGTCCCTCAAAGGAAATGCTCATTGGAGCATTCCCAATTTCAGATTTTCAGATCAGGGATGTTGAACTTGTAAGTAAAATGCTAATATTACAAAATCTGAAAAAATTAGCAATCCGGAGTACTGTTGGTTCCAAGCATTTTGGGTAAGGAATAGTCCCTCATTTTCCTCTACAGTTATCCTAGACCTCTCTCATCAATAATTACTTTTCTACTATCTTTTTAAATTTCAAGATCTGTTCATGTTAACTAACAAATTCATGGTCATGCATTTAATGTCATTCATTGATTCATACATTTGTCATTTCAGACAACATAAGTGCATAATAATAACAGCCATCAGAGGGTCAAAGTATTTTAAACCCAATGGGACACTCTAAGTAGGTATTGCTGGCAACAAGGTAAATATAGGTAAGGTTTTTGGGAGGCAAACTTTTAGGAAGCCAAGAAACAATGTCCTAAATGCGTATTCCTACTTGTAAATATCATAAGGATGGCTGGGTGTGGTGGCTCATGCCTGTAATCCCAGCACTTTGGGAGGCCGAGGTGGGTAGATCACCTGAGGCCAGGAGTTTGAGACTAGCCTGGCCAACATGGTGACACCCCGTCTCTACTGAAAATACAAAAATTAGCCAGGCGTGGTGGTGGGCACCTGTAATCCCAGCTGCTTGGGAGGCTGAGGCAGGAGAATCGCTTGAACGTGCGAGGCGGAGGCTGTCATGAGCCGAGATACACCATTGCACTTCAGCCTGGGCATCAAGAACAAAACTCTGTCTCAATAAATAAATAAATAAATAAATAAATCAGGCTTCCCCATTATAAAAGAGGAAAAAAATGTAATCAATTATTACATATAGTCAAAGGAAAGTTATTAAAATATAAGGAAGAAAAACCCAAAACTCTCAGAAAACTAGGAATCGAGGAGAATATCCTCAACTTGTTAAAAGACATCTATTTTTAAAAACACTATAGCCAACATTATACTTAATGGTGAAAGACTGAATGATTTATCCTTAAGACAGGGAACAAGGCAAATATTTTTATTCTCAGCATTGCTATTTAACATAGCACTGAAATTTAGATACGAAGTTTTAGGGGAATCAATTCCAACAGTCTCTTGGTACATGGGGACACTCAGGCTTTTTATGAAGCCTTGTAGAGTGTTATGTCTTAGTTGTTAAGCCCATGGGATGTCTATTACGAGCTTTAATCTGGTTTGCATGGGAGGAGAATGAAATTGAAGATGGTAGAATTCAGTTCCCAGGTACACAGTTGAGGTGAGCCATGGGTAATGTGCATTCCCTGAGCATGAAAGCTCCAAGAATTCCCTCTTGATCAACTTCCCTCATTCCCGCCGGGTGAGTAGAACTCGTAGCTTGAAAGTTTACATAATGAGATGGTGTAGCTTGATAGCTTACATAATGAGATGGTGTACATGCCTTCTCCTTCCACCTCGCCTCTCTTTTGGTCTGTATCGATGCTGGCAAGGTAGAAAACCTGAGCATTTACCTATGGACCCCAGGGAAGGGCACATATAGTAGCTGAGAAGTATGTACCTTGTTTCTATCAGAGCCACTTAGGTGCAATAATGTCATTCCTGTGTGTATATTAAAGTCTTAGGCCCCACCCCACAAAGAGATTCTAATTTTATTATCTTGGGTGGGGTCAGGGAATCATTTTTCGAAATGCCTCTGGTGATGAAAATCTAAAGCCCAGTTTGAGAACTATTGCCCAACTACAAGGTAGATGCCTTAATACCCAGGACTTAACAAAATTTGGCGAGGGGAAGTGTGCAGTTGAAGTTCAGAGCCTTGAGACAATTGGCTTTGGCAGTACCAAGAATGGACCAGGAGTTGTCACAGCTGTGAATCCAGCAAAGACAGAGACCAACATGCAGAGGCTAAGCTGCAGGAGGCACCTCATGGGTCAGGAGGATTGGAAGTCTTTTCTCCAGTGTTCCCAAATTAAGGAAGATTCCTTCACATCCATTGCAATCCAGAAGGATGAGGAAATAAAAATACAGGAAAAACAGAGCATTTGTTCTATAGAATTTAAATTATATCCATCAGGTCATAGTTAAAAAAAAGGTAATGATTGTTTAATATGTTCTTTTCTTAAAATGTTGGTTTTACCCAGTTTTGAAAGCCTCACTGGAGGCTGGTCAGTTCCCCTTCTACAATGGCTGATTTTAAGTTCATATTCCAGCCACTTCCTTTATGAACTCTCACACTCAGAGTCCACTATGCAAAACCCTAATTGCCTAGGGTCCAGGTACCAGACAACTGGGGGCAGACTCTGTGCTTTGGAGCTGGAGAATTAAAATTAGCCAATCTATAGGCATCCCCAAGAAACCTCACCCCAGCCGACTTGCCATACATAAGTTGCCACTGTCATCCCTGCTTGCTGTTAATCCTGTCCCTGGATGCAAAATTCTATGGCCTAATGTAGCAGACTTCTCTCCTTTGGAGTTCCAAATAACAAGGAGTTCTGCCTTTTTTTCTGTGTGTGTGACATTGTGTTGTATCCTGCCATTACAAAAATTTAAATTTTATAAAACATTATGTTATGTTTAATGGACCCAATTAAGCATTCATCACTTCCCCATTGTCCTACTCATCCTGCACTTCAATTCTCCCTGTGACATGAGCAACGATGCATTATGTCACAAATAAAATGACTTATTTTCATGTTTAGGTGTGCACTGACTTTTTTAAATGAAGAAAGCTATCATAATATTGTGATGAATTAAGCAAGGTCTGATCCTCTACTGTTTAGCAGCATCGTTTAAATCAATACATTATTTCTGGAAAACTTTACTCACTCACTTGCCACAGAGGAATCTTTTTGGGCAGAGGGTTTCAGAGGCAATAGCAAGGAGGGAGAAGACTCTGTTAGATGGAGTTTGGATAAAATAAAGGCCTGAATGTTCTCTATAATAAACACATTCCTTCTGAGGCTGAGGAATTTGACTGTCTCTTGTATGTGAATGCTGACCACATCCTTCCAGCTGTTCGTTTGTGACTTATTTTCTCCTTTATTTTCTCTTTGAAGTGTATACAGGAAGAAGTGAGGAGGGGAGAGCAGAAGGAAAGTGAAAAAAGCAGAGGCTAAAAAGAGCACCCAATAAAACATTAAAAAGGGTACCAGAAACCCTAGACTTTTTCTTTCAAAAACTTCACTCAGTCTTTTATAATGCCTTCAAATACTATGATACAGTGAAGACTATCTTTGAAAAGAATGTGTTGTTCACTAAAGGAAAATGTATCAATAATAAAAGAGGGTATCAATTCAAACTTCCAACTTAGGTTATTAAAGAGACATGGACCAAAGGCCATACGAATACATAAAACTTGTAGGTTGTACAAAAACATGTAACATTGTACAAAAACAAGAACTAGAAATACCATTTGACCCAGTAATGGGATTGCTGGGTATATACCCAAAGGATTATAAATCATGCTACTATAAAGACACATGCACACGTATGTTTGTTGCGGCACTATTCACAATAGCAAAGACTTGAAACTAACCCAAATGTCCATCAATGATAGACTGGATTAAGAAAATGTGGCACATATACACCATGGAATACTGTGCAGCCATGAAAAAGGATGAGTTCATGTCCTTTGTAGGGACATGGATGAAGCTGGAAACCATTGTGAGCAAACTATCACAAGGACAGAAAATCAAACACCACATGTTCTCACTCGTAGGTGGGAATTGAACAATGAGAACACTTGGACATAGGGCGGGGAACATCACACACTGGGGCCTGTCGTGGGGTGGGGGAATGGGGGAGGGATAGCATTAGGAGAAATACCTAATGTAAATGATGAGTTAATGGGTGCAGAAAACCAACATGGCACATGTATACATATGTAACAAACCTGCACATTGTGCACATGTACCCTAAAACTTAAAGTATAATAATAATAATAGTAATAAACATGTAACATTAGAAATTTTGTGCTCCGTATGCCTGGTATATTTGCTTTAGGTATGTCAAATTTATAAAGTTGTTAGTTTGTATTTTAATAATGTGCTCTCTAGAATAGGGAGGCCCCCTGAAGGTAAAATCGGTTACAGATTTCTTAAGATAGTGCAATCTAATGGAAAGGGTCATGTAGAATAAGTTTAATAATGACTACAACAATAATCAAATATAGCAGTGTGGTCTGAGTTTATATCAGCTATCAAAGAATGCATAATGAACCATCCCCAAGACTTGTAACTTAAACAATCATTGAATATTTCCCTCAATATTGTGGATAGCTTGTGCTTAGCATGGTGGTTCTTCTGCTGGTCTTATCTGGGCTCAGTTGAACAGCTGACACAGGACTGTCCAAAATAACTACATTCACATACTGGTTATTGAGAGATCTTGTTTTCCCCATTCAGGCTAGACTAGTTGTCTTACAGCATGGCAGCTGAGTCCCAACACAACATAAATGAATGCTTCAAAGTCTCTGAAAGCTTAGATCTAGATGGCACACAGCAATACTTCAACCACATTCTCTTGGTCAAAACAATTTACAGGGAAGCCAGTATCCAAGGGAAAGAAAAATGCACTCTGTTTCTTGATAAGTGTGGCAAATTGCAAAAGCGTAGGTAAGGATGGACGGTATAGTTAAGGTTATCTTTTGAAATAATCTAACCACAGACTTTAGTTTTCTCATTTACAAAATATGGGTTTGGATCAGTTATATTAATAACCTTGCAACTAAAATTTTATGATTAAAAAGACACTTTTACAATTAAAATGACTGTATTTTTTTCCTTCATTTTAATTTTAGGTTCAAGGGGTGCATGTGTAGGTTTACTACATGGGTAAATTACATGTCACTGAGGCTTGATGTACGAATGATCCTGTCACCCAGGCAGTGAGCATAGTACCTGATAGGTAGCAGCCTTTCAACCCACACCCCTCTCCCACCCTCCCCCCGGAGCAGTCCCCAGTGTCTACTCTTCCCATCTTTGTGTCCCTGTGTATTTAATGTTTAGTCCCATTAATAAGTGAGAACATATGATATTTGGTTTTCTGTTTCTGCATTAATTCATTTAGGATGATGGCCTCCAGCTATGTCCATGTTGCTTCAAAGGACATGATTTCATTTTTTATGGCCTCATAGTATTCCACAGTTTATATGAACCACATTTTCTTTATCCAGTCCACTATCAACAGGCATCTTAATTGACTGCATGTTTTTGCTATTGTGAATAGTGCTATGATAAACATATGTGTGCATATGTCTTTCTGGTAGAATGATTTATTTTTCTCTGGGCTCGTGCCTAGTAGTGGGATTGTTGGAGTGAATGTTAGTTCTGTTTTGAATTCTTTGAGAAATCACTACACTGCTTTCCACAGAGGCTGAACTAATTTACCTTCCCACCAGCAGCCTATAAGTGTCCTCCTTTCTCTGTAACCCCACTAGCATCTGTTGTTGTTTTTTTGACTTTTTAATAATCATCATTCTGACTGGTGTGAGATGGTCTCTCATTGTGGTTTTGATTTCCATTTCTCTAATGGTTAGTAATAATAAACATTTAAAAATATATATTTGTTGGTCACATGTATGTCTTCTTTTGAGAAGTGTCTATTTATGTCCTTTTCTCATTTTTAATGAGGTTGTTTTTTATTTGCTGAATTGTTTAAGTTCCTTATAGATTCTGGATATTAGACCTTTGTTGGATGCATAGTTTGTGAATATTTTCTCATATTCTGTTGATTGTTTCTTAGGCTTTGCAAAAACTCTTTAGTCGAATTAGGTCCCACTTGTCAATTTTGTTTTTGTTGCAATTGCTTTTGAGATCTTAGTCATAAATTTTTTGCCAAGGCTGATGTCCAGAACAGTATTTCGTAGGTTTTCTTCTGGAGTTTTTATTGTTGTAGGTCTTACACTTAAGTTTTTAATTCATCTTGAGGTAATTTATGAGTATGGTGTAAGAAAGTAGTCTAATTTCAGTCTTCTGCATATGGCTAGCCAGTTATCCCAGCACCATTAATTGAATAGGGAGTCCTTTCCCCATTGTTTGTTATTGTCAACTTTGTCAAAGATCCAGTGGTTGTGGATGTGTAGCTTTATTTCTTGGTTCTCTATTAGGTTCTTTTGGTCTATGTGTCTGATATGGTATCATTAGGTCTGTTTTTTATCTGTTTTTGTATACTGTTTTGGTTAATGCAGCCTTGTTGTATAGTTTGAAGTTGGGGAGTGTGATGCCTCTGGCTTTGTTCTTTTTGCTTTGGATTGCCTTGATGACTTGCACTCTGAGTTGGTTTCATAGAAATTTCAGAATAGTTTTTTTTTCTGTCTGTGAAAAATGACATTGGCAGTTTGATAGAAATAGCATAAAATCTGTAAATTGCTTTGAGCAGTATGGCCATTTTAACACATTGATTCTTCCTATCCATGAGCATGGAATGTCTTTCCATTTGTTTGTGTTTTCTCTGATTTCTTTCAGCAGTGTTTTAAAATTCTCATCATAGAGAACTTTCACCTCCTTGGTATGCTGTATTCCTAGGTATTTTATTCTTTTTGTGGCTATTGTAAGTGGCATTGCATTTTTGATGTGCCTCTCAGCTTGGACATTATTGTATAAAAATGCTACTGATTTGTGTATGTTGATTTTATATTCTGAAACTTTACTGAAGTCACTTATCAGTTCTAGGAGCCTTCTAGCAGAGTCTATGGGGTTTTCTAGGTATAGAATCATATTGTCTGTGAAAAGAGATAGTTTGACTTCCTCTCTTTCTATTTGGATTCCTATTATTTCTTTCTCTTGCCTGATTTCTCTGGCTGAGACTTCTAGTACTATGTTGAATAGATATGGTCAGAGTGGACGGAGTGGTTCCAGTCTTCAAGAGGAATGCTTCCAGCCTTTGCTCATTCAGTAAGATGTTGGCTGTGGGTTTGTCATAGATGGCTCTTATGATTTTGAGGTATGTTCCTTTGGTGCCTAATTTGTTGAAGGTTTTTAATATGAAGGGATGTTGAATGTGTCAAAAGCCTTTTCTGCTTCTATTGATATAATTATGTTTTTTTTAAATTCTGCTTATTTGGTGAATCACATTTATTGATTTGCATATGTTGAACCAACCTCGCATCCGAGGAAGAAAGCCTGCTTGATCATGGTGAATTAACTTTTTTATGTGCTGCTGGATTCAGTTTGCTAGTATTTTGCTGAGGATTTTTGCATCTATATTCATCAGGGATATTGGCTGGAAATTTTCTCTCTTTGTTGTGTCTCTTTTGGGTTTCGTTATGAGAATGATACTGGCTTCATAGAATGAGTTAGTGAGGTGAGGAGTCTCTCCTCCTCAATTTTTGGAGTAATTTCAGTAGGATGGGTACTAGCTCTTCTTTGTACATCAGAGAGAATCAACTGTGAATTCATCTACTCCAGGGCTTTTTTGTTGTTGTTGCTTTTATTACCTATTGCCTGACTTTATTCTAAATTATGAAACTTTTTATGTTGAGATCTTAGGTATTTCCAGTTGCTATTGTGGGAGATTATATTCATGATGAGGTTTTCATGATGAGGTTTATAGTAGAAATTGAAAGACTTCTTATTTGCAATAAATAATGACTTCTGTGTGCCAGTAAAGTCAGTCATACTCCTAGATTCAGTCAAGGGAGATAATTCTTTTCATGCTCTCTAAGATGTTATGAATGCCCATGGGTTCGTTTATGATGATTTCATACTACAGGGTTCACAAATATACATCTTACGGACTGAGAAATCTTTCTCTTCAGTTTGCTGTCCAGTTGTGTATAGGTATTTTCATTTCAGTTTTTTTTTTAATTTTTGACTTTAAATGCAAGCAGAACTATATTCCAATGTGCTATCACCTTGTGAAAATTGAGTCTTCCCATTAACTTTCCACTTTCTGTCAGGATTAGTATCATTTAGCTGCCCGGTCTTAAAATTCAAGAAACACATTTTAAATTTTCTCCTTAACTTTCCATAAGTAAATCTTCCAAAAAATCTTCTATTTAGTTTTCTTTCAGTAAGTTCCACAGCTATATTTTCATTCTGTAGTGATATACCTACTTCACACTATTAGCAACTCCTATTTGAACTTCTGCAATGACTTCTTTAGCTTTCTAGCCCCCAATTTCTTTATTTGACAATTTCTCCTAATACATCACTCTCTTTTTTATTTTTAGTATTTTTTAGATTTTAGATTCTGGGGGTAAATGTGTAGGTTTGTTACTTGAATATACTGTATAATGCTGGGATTTGGGCTTCTATTGAACCCATCACCGAAATAGTGAACATAGTACACAACAGGTCTTTTTTCAACTCTTACCCCTGCTCCTCCCTCCTCTCTTTTCAAGTCCTCAGTGTCTATTGTTTTGATCTTTATGTCTGTGTGTACCTATTGTTTAGCTCCCACTTATAAGTGAGAACATGCAGTAATTGATTTTCTGTTTTTGAATAGTCCACTTATGATAATGACCTCTTGCTGCATTCATGTTGCTGTAAAGAACATGATTTCATTCTTTTTTATGGCTGTGTAATATTCCATGGTGTGTATGTACTACATTTTCTTTATCCAATCCACCATTGTGGGCATCTAGGTTGATTCTATGACTTTACTATTGTGAATAGTGATAACTATATGAGAGCAGGTGTGTTTTTGATATAATGATTTATTTTCCTTTGGGTAGATGCCCAGTAATAGGATTGCTCAGTTCAAGGGTGGTTCCATTTTTAGCTCTTTGAGAAATCTCCAAACTGCTTTCTATAGGGGCTGAACTGATTTACATTCTCACCAACAGTGTATAAGCGTTTGCCTTTCTCCACATCCTCCCCAACATCTGTTATTTTTTGACTTTTTAATAAATAGCCATTGTAACTAGTGTGAGATGATATCTCACTGTAGTTTTGATTTGCATTTCTCTGATGATTAGTGATGTTGAGCATTTTTCATATGTTTATTGGCTGCTTGTATGTCTTTTTTTTTTTTTTTGAGACAGAGTCTCGCTCTGTCACCCAGGCTGGAGTGCAGTGGCATGATCTCAGCTCACTGCAACCTCCGCCTCCTGGGTTCAAATGATTCTCCTGCCTCAGCCTCCTGAGTAGCTGGGACTATAGGCACCCACCACCACGCCCGACTAATTTTTGTATTTTTAATAGAAATGGAGTTTCCCCATATTGGCCAGGTTGGTCTCGAACTCCTGACCTTGTGATCCTCCCGCCTCAGCCTCCCAAAGTCTTTTTTTTGATAAGTGTTTGTTCATGTTTTTTGCCTACATTTTAATGAGATTGTATGTTTATTTCTTATTGATATTTTTTAGTTCCTTATAGGTTTTGGATATTAGCTTTTTGTCAGATGCATAGTTTGCAAATATTTTCTCCCATTCTGTAAGTTGTTTGTTTGCTCTGTTGAGTGTTTCTTATGCTGCACAGGAATTCTTTAATTAAGTCCAAATTGTCAATTTTTGTTTATACTTCATTTGTTTTTGAGGTCTTAGTCAAATTATTTGTGAAGGCCAATTTCCAGAAGTTTTTCATAGGTTTCCTTCTAGTATTTTAATAGTTTGAAGACTTACATTTTAAGTTTTGAATCCATCTTGAGTTAATTTTTATATATGGTGAGAGGTAGTGGTTCATTTTTATTCTTCTGCATATGGCTAACCAATTTTCCCAGCACCACTTCTTGAATAGGGTGTTTTTTCCCCATTGTATATTTTTGTTGAGTTTGTCCAAGATCAGGTGGCTGAAAATGTGTGGCTTTATTCTAGATTCGACATTTTTTTTCCGTTGATTTATGCCAATACACCTCTTTCAAAAATAATCCTTTAATGGACACCACACTCCTTAGACACATGTTTATAGCTCTCTGCATCCTGACCCTAATCTACTGGTTCACTGCTTTCTCCCACTTCCTGGCTATGTGAATCTTTTGCTCTTACCAGATTGGTCTAATTTTTGTCCCTCCATAAGGTCTTGTGAATACAGACTCTGAGCTATGCTCACACCATTTCCTCTGCCCAGAATATCCTCTCAATTCATTGTACATTCTGCTCCCACTTGAAGGTTCAGTTTAATGTGGCTGAAAATCCATTATTTTTATTTTTCAGGGAAAGCTTGCTATTTGTTATGTATATGGAAGGTAAAGGAGTTGATATGTGGGGCATAGGAAGTGGGATCTTGAACTTCAAACCTTCCTCTATCTAGTTGACTACTTGAAATACCAATAATCTACCAAGAATGAACAAAACATGTGGAATGGCTTCCGCCCTAGGATTGATCAGTTTAGTCTATACTGACCTTGGAAACTCTGATTTTATATTCATTATTTGGTAATAAATTGTTAATTGCTCTGTGTTATAAGATTACTTCTTAAGCGTGCTTTCCTTGTCTCTGCTGCTAGATTTTTAGCTCCTTTGGGGAGCAGAGCCCATATTCTCTACCTTCTTTTGTCTCCTTTGTTTAGAACTATACTTTGCACATAATATGTTATTATATGCTTAAAATATAATATTATATATAATATAAAAATAATATAGTATTAGGTACTCAGTTGGCATTGAATAAATAATAATATCAAAACCTATAAATTTCTACCATAATTGCTTTGTAATTATAAAATAACTTTGTTCTTTCTTAACATGGCCTTACATTTTTATTGTGATCTAAGAGGACTAGTCTGAATTTATCCAAACATGTCACATAAAATTTGAAAATATATAGTTAAAATAATTTACTGCATTATTGTGAGTATATGTTTAATGCAACACTTCATATGTTTTCTTCTCTGTGCATATCATCAATTACAAGCGTTTAAAAAACTAATATAATTAATAAATGATTTCCGGGAGATAAAAATGACAGTGACAGCCTAAAAATGACTAAAATCGTTTTTAGCCAAGTCTTTTCCCAAGTTAATACAAATTGGTGTTTTTTATGCAGAGGGTGCCAGAGGATGTCTGGGTTCCTTTAGATGATTCCCTGATCTGACTCTGCTTTCAGTTATTTTCTGACTTAACAATGTCAGAGGCGACAGCCCTGGACATCATGTGTGAAACAAGCATCATCACTAACAAACGATGAACACGATTCAAATGATCAGGAAAGCACCTTCCATAGAACTCACTTTAATGGACTGAAAACTAATTTTGCAAGTGCTGCTTTTCTTACTGTTCACTTCAGGGGCAAGAGCACCATGTATTGAATTACAAAAGCCCAGTGATCTAGAAATGCCATAAGAGTACATAAATGAAAAGTGTGGGTTAGCGTAGCATGAAAAATACTTCCACACATAAACATTGGAGGAGATTTTTAAATAAACATATTATGTTTTAAGCAGACATTTATAATTGAAGTTTTTAAAGAATAATTGAGAGTTATAAATATATAAAGTTGCATGATCCAAAAATATATTTGAAATAGATGTGATTATGATGTTGAGAGCCATTCTAGGATGGTAACAAGTATTTTTCAAAGATCTAAAATAAAATATTTCTTATATGCAAATACTTAATCTTCAATTTTTAAGCAGAAAGTCTAATTCAAAGAATCTTAGGCTATAATAGTTTTGGATAAATCACTACAAAATTGCTTGCAATATGATTTTTTCCTAACCAGCCAACTTTAGTTTACTTACAGGTTGGGTGATAGATACAATACTCAATGACTCAATTGCTCTGACAAAATTATCTGAAGGCGGATGGAAGCAACAGGTTTGAATTTAGGATGCATTTGGAAATATCTTATAAATGTTAAGCTTCAAGTGTGTGGAATCCCCTAGGTCTTCTATTTACAGATCATGGAAGGTGGTTTTTCCATCAATTGCATGAATAAAATACTTATACATTAGTCATTTGATATACAAACATTATGTTTGCAAATAAACTCAGCAATTTAGTTGTTGGAAATTATAGCTGTCTCCAGGTTTCCTGAAGCCTTGTTTCCACTGAGGTGTTTATGAAGGCTATGCTCTAAATTTTATTTGAAGAAAGCTACTAGAAACAACTTCTGAATTTGTTGTACTTTTGAAAATTATATTCAGTACTTAAGTCTCCTAAATTAATACCACTTGGAATTTAAGAGCAATTGTTTCTGAAACACTTTGAATTCATTTAGAAACTGTATGAATGTGCAGGTATACCTCAGAGATATTGTGGATTCACTTCCAGACCACTGCAATAAAGTGAACATTGCAATAAAGCAAATCATATAATTTTTTTGATTTTCAAGTACATACAAAAGTTTGTTTATACTAGACTACATTCTATTAAGTGTGCAATAACATTATGTCTAAAATTTAATGTACATACCTTAACTAAAAAATACTTTATTGCTAAAATGCTAAGAAGCACCTGAGCCTTCAGAGTCATAATTTTCCATTGTGTGGCTGCTGGCTGATCAGGTTGTAGAAGGTCTGTGCCAATTTCTTAAAATAAGACAACGACGAAGTGTGCTGCATTGATTAACTCTTACTTTCATGAAATATTTCTTTGTAGCATGCACTGCTGTCGTATAGCATTTATCCATAGTAAGCTACTTTAAAAATTGGAGTCAATTATCTCAAAGTCTGCTGATGCCTTGTCAATTAAGTTTATGAAATATTTTCAATCATTTAAACATGTTCACAGAACCTTCAGCAGGAGTAGATTCCATCTCAAGAAACCACGTACTTTACTCAATTATAAAATGTAACTCCTTATCCATTTCAGTTTGATCATGAAATTACAGCAATTTAGTCCCATATTCAGACTCCACTTCTAGTCTAGTTCTCTTGCTATTTCCACCACGTGCACTTACTTCATCCACTAAAATCTTAAACACCTCAAAGTCATTCATTGGCATTGAAATCAGCTTCTTCCAAACTTCTGTTAATGTTTATATTTTGACCTCTTCCCATGATTCACAAATGTTTTTAATGGAACTAGAATGGTGAATCCTTTCCACAAGGTTTTCATTTTACTTTGCTCAGATCCAACAGAAAAATAATTATCTATGGTAGCTATATCTTTATGAAATATATTTTAAAATAATAAGACTTGAAAGTCAAAATCACTCCTTGAAACATGGGCTGCATAATGGATATTATGTTCACAGGGATGAAAACAACGTTAATTTCCCTGGAAATATCTTTCAGAGCTCTTGAGTGACTAGGTACATTGTCAGTGAGCAGTAATATTTTGAAAGTAATATTTTTTTTCTGAAAAGTGTGTTGCAATAGTGGGCTCAGAAGATTTAGTATACCAGACTGTAAAGAGATGTGCTGTCATCTAGGCCTTGTTGTTCCATTTATGTAGCATAGGCAGAGTAGATGTAGCATAATTCTTTATTTTTATTTTTCTTATGTATTTATTTTTAGTTGTAGTAGAGACAATGTTTTACGTTGCTCAGGCTGGTCTCAAACTCCTGGGCTCAAGTGATCCTCCTACTGCAGCCTCCCAAAGTACTGAGATTACAGGCGTGAGCCACCACACCCAGCCTATGTAGCATAATTTGTAAGGGCCCGAGGATTTTTGGAACGGCAAATGAGCATTGGCTTCAACATAAAGTCAGCAGCTGCATTAGCCCCTAACAAAAGAGTCAGCCTATCTTTTAAAGCTTTGAATCCAGGTATTGACTTCCCTTCTCTAGCTATGACAGTCCTAGATGGCATCTTCTTCCAAGAGAAGGATGTTTAGTCTACATCGAAAATCTATTTAGTGTAGCCACCTTTATCAATGATATTAGCTTGATCTTCAGGATAACTTACTGCAGCTTCTACATGAACACTTGCTGTTTCAACTTGTACTTTTATGTTATGGAAATGACTTGTTTTCTTAAACTCTGAACCATGAGCCAAGCTCTGCTAGCTTCCAACTTTTCATCTGCAGCTTCCTCATCTCTCTTAGTCTACAGAATTGAGGTGTCAGGACCTGGCTCTGAATTAGGCTTTGGTTTAAGGGAATGTTGTTACTGGTCTGATCCTCTATCAAGACCACTCAAACTTTTTCCATATCAGCAATAAGGTTGTTTTTCTTTCTTATTATTTGTGTGTTCACTGGAGTAGCACTTTAAATTTCTTTCAGGATCTTTCCTTTTTCATTCACATCTTGGCTAACCGGTGTAAGAGGCCAAGCTTTTGGCCTGCCTTGAGTTTTTACATGCTTTTTCACTAAGCTTAATAATTTCTAACCTTTTTTTTAAAGTGAGATATGTGTGACTCTTTCACTTGAAAACTTAGAGACTATTGTCTGGTTATTAATTGTCCCAATTTCAATGTTGTTGTGTCTCAAGAAACAGAACAGCCTCAGCAGGAGGAAGACAGAGGAATAGCCAGTCATTGGAGTAGTCAGAACACACATATTGTCAATTACATTTGCTGTCATATGGGCATTGTTTGTGGTACCCCAAAACAGTTACAATAATATCAGAGATCACTGATGACATATCATTATAACAGATACAGTATAAAAATAATAATGAAAATGTTTGAAATATTCCAAGATACTAAAATGTGACTCAGAAGCATGAACTAAGCCTATACTGTTGGAAAAATGGTGACCACAGCCTTGCTTACACGTTTTTATTGCTTGAAGATTTGTGATTTTCCCCTTTTGTCATGAACCTCTACAATTATTTATATATTTTTGATTATTGAAATTTATTTTTACTTATCTTTCACCACATACATTTTTGTCATGAACCCCTACAATTATTTGTATGGTATTTGGTCATAAAAATTTATTTCTACGTATCTTTTATCACATACGTTTTAAATATTTGTAACAGTTCCTTTGTGAACCATGTTGAAATACCAATAAACTAGCAACCTAACATACAAAATTGGTCATAATAAAGTAGGGACAGAAATTCCTAGAAGTTGAGACAGGGTGAAAAGATCCTAGAAAATGAAGGTGTTCTAGTTATATTTAGATTTTGAGACCTTACACTATTTAAAATATTCATGTTAAAATTATACATATTAATTAAGAAAAAAAGTAGGGGTGTTCCCTAAAGTTCTAGGCATTATGTAAAGACAATGAGACCTCTAGGCTCCACACAAGTAAAGACCTCAAGACCAGTTTGGAGAAAGACATTGTAAATCACAAAGTAATTTCATATTTGCAAGTAAATTTGGAATTTGAAAGTGAACCTGTAACTTTGCTGAAATGCAGAAAATAAAAACAAACAAAAATGCAAATGCATCAGCTAGCTACTCTAAATATTCATAATTCATTTTTTGCAGTGTTTTCAGAGGACAAGCAGCAACTTCGTTTTATGTGCTCACCTAGAGCTAACTAAAGTGTCTTAGAGGAGACACAGACACAAAATGAGTGAAAATGACTTAAGGAATAGATGTAAATTAAAATTGACTATCTGCCTATTACCTATTATCTTGGGACTTTTATATTTCTTGGAAAATAATTCACAATAAAGACTTATTTATGAGCTCTTTTCTTGGAGTTATGAAATGCTGCCCAATCTATATTTATGAAGGAATTGAATGGAAATATATAAAAAGAATAAAATGTCCCACAAAGTTTAAATATCTTTTGCAGATGTAGAAAAGGCCTTTTACTATTGATATATCTATTGACATGGTTGGAATACACAACTCTTTGGAGACTAACTCATTTTTCTCATAATATCATGGGGCTTCAAAACTGTCTTCCCTTGTTTTTTGGTATTAATGAAGCAGAATATTGCATTGGAAAATTATGTGTCCTAGAAAAGACAAACTCTCCATACATGTAAAATTTGAAATTGAAGACATCATATGCAGATATCAACTGAGAATATTACTGCAAAAGCATTTGTTGTTATGACTGGGGGCACATTTTCTAAATTAAAGAGATGCAGGTCTGTAGAGGGAAGGATTCTGGAGAATAGCTAGCACACAAGGAGTTCATATGAGGTAGAGTTGAAGAACAGGGACAGAGGAGACTAAGGCAGATGGGATATTGAGAACCATCTGGTCCTAAATGCTGCAGAAAATTTTTAAAGCCTGATTATAAGACACAGGACACTTTTCAAATTTTATTTGAAATTATCTCAGTCTTTATATACAAACCATAAAATTACTAGGAAATGTACTTATCCTGCGTCCAAATCACATAATGTTTCCTGTTTTGTTAATAACCCATTGTACCAGTTCGAATTCAGTCAGAGAAGCAGAATGTGTGTGTGTGTGTGTGTGTGTGTGTGTGTGTGTGTGTGTGTGTGTGTATTTGTTATAGGGAGTTGTCCTTATTCAATTATGGTACCTGAGTAAGCAGCTCCTGTATGGCTGTTGTCTTGTGCCAGATGTTGGAGCTTTAAGTCAGTTGGAGGCCTGGCCATTGCTTCACCAACAGCATGAGCCACAGACAAGCAACAATGTGTATGAGCTCCAAAATGGTGGCTACTTCACACCTGCCCTCCAAATGTCCCATTGTAATTTCTCCAGAGGCCTACTCTAATCCTAAACATAAACAAAGGGCAGTTGGATTCAACCTAGCCTAATTGACCTGTTAGAAAGTCATCACATCCTTTTAAGTGAGTTTATTCTAGAAAAGAAAATTTCTAAAAACTTTAAACAAAAAATCCTTAAAGTAGAAAAAAAAAACCCTCCAGAATACAAGCAAGAGAAAACACAACCTTAGAACCAATAAGGCATAATATTAAATTGCATTAAATACCGTAGTAAGCTTAAAGGCTATATTTTCCAAATGTTGCCTGTTAGCAGGGCTGGCTTTACAGGCATATCACCAATGCAGTCACGCAGGGCCCCACTCTCCGAAGGACCCCATGCTTTTAGTTTATTGCTCTATAATATAATCACTGTTATAAAATTCTTCATAATTGTATTTTTGAATTTGTGTTTTGTAAGTGAAATCTGATGAGATGAAGGAGCATGTGCCAGGGGCTTGACTTTCCCCAGGATGGGTTCTCTGTCACCTTCTACCCTGAGTGAGGGTTAGGACCTGGGTGTGGGAAGCGTTAGGGTCCCAGTGTGAGATGCCTGGTGCTTGTCAGGGTCTGCACTTACCCTGAAAGAATCTCCATGCCCAAGGGTGTGTGACATTGAACAAATACATAAAATATTATATTTTACATATATGCACATTTTATAATTTGTTTATATAAAGGTGGATAAATCAACCTAAGCAAAAAATACCATGATAGGTTAGGAGAGGAACTGTAGAAGAAACATGAAAGCTTCTTTCCAATTTTGGAACAAGGGGCCTTGAATTTCATTTTGTTAACAGACCCCATAAATTATCTAGACAATGCCGTCTGTTCAAAATACTCTTAATTTGTGAAAACTTTTATGTTGAGGAAAAATGTTAATTAGTATTGAAATGTTATGATTACAACTTGAGCATTTTCAGATGTGATATTGCATAGCACACACTCTCAATTTTAGTCTAAAGATCACAATTTTGTTTTTTTATGTATATACACACAATTCATTTGTATAAATTTTTCTTCTCTTTTGTATTACTAGATGATACCATTTAAGCAGTGCATCTTATTTTTTTCTATTTTTTCTTTCAGGTATTGTATACATACATGTATTCCCATTTCTTTTATGCTTCTTAAAAAATGATCACACAAACACACACACACACACACACACACACACATATTTTTCTTTTGTAGAGGAGAGGCTTCTACTTAGAGAGCTTCCTATATGCCTGCAAGCAAAGATGCTCCAAGGTCTTACAGGAAAGGTCAGATAATTATCCAGACACTTCTGTTAGTGACAAGGTTGTCCTTCTGCTATATGTTTGACTCTGTGTTTAAGAGTGACCAAACTGCTTCATTTACTTTAATATGTTCTGACCCTGCATTTGACATTTATTAGCCCCTCAAATTTGAAAGTCAGAATGGTTTCAGAGTGCTTCTGTCCTTTAGACTTTGAAAGTCCAGACTGAAGAACATGACAGACTTCTTAAAGAAAAGGCTATTAGGCCATTATATTCATCACTTAAAATAGGGTTGGATGAGCATCGAGGAACATGGTTTATGGAGCAATCTCCCACTCTCTGGGAGATGAGGGAAGATGGCTAAGATGACCTGCTACTCTGGTCATTTTAGCAACCTAACTTTGCTGCAATAAGAGTTTGATTTGGATTTACTACCAAGGCACTTGCCAGAGAAATGAAAAGTTGGCACCTATAATATGATTAAGACCTTTCATTATCTTTGCTGGGAAGCAAAAGGACCCAGTATGTTATGAAAAAAAAAAACCATTTTTTGAATACTCTTTGTTCCAAGACTTGACTGATTTAATATTTGAGAGGTCAGGATATAAGACACTATTCAAAACATGGGGAGAAAAAAGACAGACTTCCTGTCATTTAGGAGTTTACAACCTAGTGAAACAAGATTTATAATACAAGGTACTCTCTGTACAGATTTTTTAAAAAATATTGTGTTCTATTAGACGATGAAGGACATGAAATAGAAAAATGAATTATTGAAATATTCTGCTTGATTGCCTTCTGCTCTCCCACTTCCCTGGCATTGGGAAAGAAGAAGAAACCTCTTTGATTCTCCTCTTACTTACTCCTGTGCTAACAGTGGCCTTGGGTAGCCACTGCCTCTGACAGTTTGGGGTTTTCTTTTATTCAATGAAGAAAAAAAACATCAAAAGAGAATGTGCAAAGAAGCAGAGAGGGCACATAGCCAGTGATACGAGTTGCAAAAATCAAACAAACTGTATTTTTGTTTACTTTTAAAATAAAGTACTATGTTAACTATATTACCATTATGTTGATACTGTGCGTGCTACTTTTTAGCAAGTGTAATGTACCCTTGGGGCTTAGGAATTGGTCTGTTTCGATTTTTTAAAAAAGAGCTGTTTATTATTTCCTGAAGTTTTATATTTATATTTTTAACTCCTAGATGCAACATTAATAACTTTTTCAAATTTAAATTTTTATCCTTCATGGTGCCTAGTATATTGCCTATACACAGTTGCCAGCTGGTCTGGTTATCCATGTAATTTAACAAAACACTCCAAATTCAGTAGTGTAAAGTGACAACTATTTCATTATGCTCACATATTCTATGGCCAACATAGTGAGGGTAGCTTATCTCTGCGGCATGTTGTCCAGGGTCTCAGCTTGGAAGATTCTCATGGCTGAGGGTGACTGGAATGACTGAGGATTGAAACGGTCTCGGGCATCTGCACTCAGATGCTTGGAATCTGAGGTAGGATAACTCAGGTTATGAACTTAGCTGCAACTGCTGACCTAAGCCCCTGCTTAGTCTCTCCTTTGACTTCTCACAGCAGGGCACCTGTGACGGGAAAGCATCTTGAGAGTGAGTGCTCAAATGACCAAGGGGAATGGTCCTGTTTTTTTCTGACCTACATTCAGAAGTCAGGAAGTGCCACTGAATCTATGCCACTGAATTCTATGGGTTACAATTGAATCACCAAGGAAAGCCCAGATTCAAAGATAAGGAAATTAGACCCCTCCTCTTGATGGGAAAATAACAAAGTCACATGGAAAAGTGGATACTGGAAGATATTGTTGCATTCGTTTTTATAGAATACAATCTTCAATAATGTGCAACAAATAGTTGAAGAACTTAATCTAGTTGAATCCTCAAGCAAAGAAGACACATTCTAAGTTTCCATGATGCTTTCACATAGTAAGGACATATCAAACTTTGGACTTACTTTTGTGGTTTCTTCGTTTCTCTTCGGTTGGTGGTTGTGATGCTTAATTTTATGTGTCAGCTTGGCTGAGACACAGCCACATACTGTGGTCAAACATGATTATGGATGTTTTATTGAGGGTGTGTTTGGATGAGATTAACATTTAAATCAATAGACTTTGAGTAAAGCAAAGCAAAGTCCACCCATAGGTTTTGGACTTACCAGCCTCCCTAATCACCTGAGCCAACTCCTTAAAATAGGTTTCTTTACACACACACACACACGCACACACACGTAGGTATGCAGACACACACACACACACACACACTCGCTATTGCTTCTGTTTCTCTGAAGAACTCTGACTAAAACAATGGTGTTCTATGGGCTAGAGAGAATGGAATGGCAGGCTAGAATCAATTGAGTAGGATTTTCCATGGTATTTTGGGCTCAGGACTCTAAATTTTCCCAGGCTATTATTATTCTTGCTATTGCTTCCAAAATTGGAGTAATATTTGATCCAAATTAAAAATAGACTTTTCTTAGTGGCTTCCTGCTTCAATAATCCAGGAATATAATGACATGTCTGTAGATAATACTGGCAATATTTTCTGTCTGGTTGACTTTATAACAGACCATAATTAAAAATTAATTTTTAATACTGCCCTCCTCTGAAGAGCAAGTCAATTAAATATTCTTGGGCATCTCCCACGCCCTTCAATCAGCTATTAAGTATTTGAGAACTGACTTTAGTATCAGTCAATTACTGATGACACAGACATTTATAACAGGGCAAACGATTTTCGTTCTGGGGCTTAATCAGTATCTAAACTCTGAGGTTACCTTGTAATTCTATTTAAAAAACATATCTTCTTATAAAATATCTTCTGACTTCTTGTCCAGCCTTTCTTTACTTTTCTTGTTGCCAGTGTCAACAGCAGACTTTTAATAACAAACACGTGTACCTGGTGTCATTTTCAAATTTGTTTTCTTCTTAATCTCTGATTTCTACTGTACCTTAATTTCTTTCACTTTGGTCTGTGAAACTATATTTAAAAAATATGTAGACAGGAGATCTTCAACACTGTCTTGGCCATGTTACTGTCAGATATTAGTAATAAATCCATATTTTCTCCAGCTGAATTTGGTAAGGCCTCAAAATTCTGCTCCATGAACAGCTTCGGAGGCCACAATTAATTGATGACAGCTGGTATGAAAGATGAAGTTTGTTTGCCATCTCTGCTCTTGGGGTTGTTTTCCTTCAGCATTCTGAATGACCATCTTTATTGGATCTCTGGACTATGGAACAAGTATACATTAGATACTTATTTTAGTTTTGTTAATAGTGATTCACTTGTTTTTCTAAGTATAAAAATTTTTAAAAAATTGTTTAAATAACATCTAAGAAAAGAATTTAGCATGTATAAACAACAACCATGATGTTACCCAGAGACTTCTTTCAGAGCTACCCACAAAGACTAAGGACATGTGGTAGTGCTCACTCAGTACTTTTGGAAAATTGGCTCATATCATTTTAGAATTTATTGTAATATTGTAGTGTTTTTTTCTGTTCTTAATTGAGAAGTATATGGTAGTAGAAATTTGGATTAAAAAATTCTTCCAAAAATACAAATGCTCCACCATAACCCAGGGAAATTTTAATATTGGCTATTCTTCTACTACAGGTAATACACAGGTGGTGGCAACTAAGCTGTCAATAGTCAAGCTTGTGCATAGCACTTTGTGCTTAATAAAATTTTTAGTATTCTCACTTTGCACTTTAATCTTTGAGATATGCAGAAAGGGTTACGAAACTTTCTATAGATGGAAGAAAATAAAGACCTATTGAGTGCTAAAACAAATTAAATAGATAAATGGAAATCCTGCAGCAGATCCAAATTTCTCTATGTGGCTTTACAAGTTGTTATGTATCACTTTTTGAAGCATAGGTTTTCAGTAGAGTAGTAGTGCACAAGGAATATTTTTCACTATTCTTTGCTGTAATTCTATTTATATCTTTTAGAACTATTACAAACAACTGTCGAAGTTTTCACACACAGCCTTCCGTCTGCCAACAGCTCCAGCTGGCAGGAATACCCAGCTTTTCATGGGTGTGAAAGGAATTGATTTATACACACAGCTGGATATCTTCCAGTGTATTTTCCCAGCCAGGACCATACGCAGTGTTGCAAATGAGCTGTACTGTAGGCTTTTATCTGATGTTTACTAGGTTACACACACTAAGCAGTCTCAGAAGCACAGGTTAAGAGTGGGTATCACATTAATCAATTCATGGCAGAAACAAAGAAATGACTGTCACATTATGAAGGATGGAGATTGAGTAATGGTTAGCAAGAACTTAGCAGAATGCGGCTAAGCTTCACAGGTCCTGCAGAAGATGGAAAACAATGGATACAATGAAAATTATGCTTTCCCAGAACAGATTCAGAATTTAGGAAAATTAAAAGGATTGGAGAAGAGGCAATAGAAGAAGGTGGCTGCAAATAAAACCTGTTCTCCTTTGTTAGTACACAAATCTTGCTCGTGAATTGTTGGGGATAAAATGAACAAAGATTATATCATCTGTAGAAGCACTCTATTTTCTTCAGTGTAATAATATAACAAAGTAGCCTGGTTATTTATTTGAAAAATATGAAATGTTTAACAACATGTGTCCTAGCTTAATTTTCTTTTTTAAAAATTTAAATTAATTTTAATTTAAGTTCTGGGATACATGTGCAGGACGGGCAGATTTGTTACATAGGTAAACATGTGCCATTGTTTGCTGTACCTATCAACCCATCACCTAGGTATTAAGCCCCACGTGCATTAGCTATTTATCCTGATGCTCTTCCTTCCTCCACCCCCGTGACAGGGCCCAGTGTGTGTTGTTCCCCTCCCTGTGTCCATGTGTTCTCACTGTTCAGCTGCCACTTATGTGTGGGAACATGCGGTATTTGGTTTTCTGTTCCTGCGTTAGTTTGCTGAGGATAATGGCTTACAGCTCCATCCATGTCCCTGCAAAGGACATGATCTCGTTCCTTTTTATGACTGCATGGTATTCCATGGTGTATACGTACCACATTTTCTTTATCCCGTCTATCATTTATGGGCACTTGGATTGATTCCATGTCTTCTTTGCTATTGTGAATAGTGCTGCAATGAACATACATGTGCATGTGTCTTTATAACAGGATGAATTATATTCCTTTGGGTGTATACCCAGTAATGGGATTGCTGGGCCAAGTGGTATTTCTGGTTCTAGGTATTTGAGGAATCATGAAACTGTCTTGCACAATGGTTGAACTAATATACATTCCCACCAACAGTGTAAAAGTGTTCCTATCTCTCTGCAGCCTCCCAGCATCTGCTGTTTCTTGACTTTTTAACAATTACCATTCTGACTGGCATGAGATGGTATCTTATCATGGTTTTGATTTGCATTTCTTTAATAATCAGTGATGTAGAGCTTTTCTTCATATGTTTCTTGGTTGCATAAATGTCTTCTTTTGAGAAGTGTCCATGTCCTTTGCCCACTTTGTAATGGGATTGCTTGTTTATTCTTGTAAATTTGTTTAAGTTCCTTGTAGATTCTGCATAATAGACCTTTGTCAGATGGATACATTGCAAAAATTTTCTCCTATTCTGTAGGTTGTCTGTTCACTCTGATGATAGTTTCTTTTCCTTTGCAGAAGCTCTTCAGTTTAATTATATCCCATTTGTCAATTTTTGCTTTTGTTGCAATTGCTTTTGATGTTTTTGTCATGAAATCTTTGCCCGTAACAATGTCTTGTATGGTATTGCCTAGATTTTCTTCCAGGATTTTCATAGTTTTGGGTTTTACATTTAAGTCTTTAATCCATCTTGAGTTAATTTTTGTATAAGGTGTAAAGAAGAGGTCCAGTTTCAATTTTCTGGATGTGGTTAGCCATTTTCCCAGCACTATTTATTAAATAGGGGAACTTTTCCCCATTGCTTGTTTTTGTTTGATTTGTCAAAGATCAGATGATTGTAGATGTGCAGTCTTATTTCTGAGATCTTTATTCTGTTACATTGGTCTATGTGTCTGTTCTTGTGCCAGTAGCAGGCTGTTTTGGTTACTGTAGCCTTGTAGTATCGTTTGAAGTTGGGTAGTGTGACGCCTCCAGCTTTGTTCTTTTTGCTTAGGATTGTCTTGGCTATGCAGGCTGTTTTTTTGGTTCCATATGAATTTTAAAGTAGTTTTTTTCTAATTCTGTGAAGAATGTCAATGGTAGTTTAATGGGAATAGTATTGAATCTATAAATTACTTCAGGCAGTATGGACATTTTCACAATATGATTCTTTCTATGCATGAGCATGAAATGTTTTTCCATTTGTTTGTGTCCTCTGTGATTTTCTTGAGCAGTTGTTTGTAGTTCTCCTTGAAGAGCTCCTTCACTTCCCTTGTTAGCTGTATTCCTAGGCATTTTATTCTCTTTGTAGCAATTGTGAATGGGAGATCATTTGTGATTTAGCTCTCTGCTTGTCTGTTGTTGGTGTATAGGAATGCTTGTGATATTTGCACATTGATTGTGTATTCTGAGACTTTGTTGAAGTTGCTTATCAGCTTAAGAAGCTTTTGGGCTGAGACAATGGGGTTTTCTAGATATAGAATCATGTCGTCTGCAAAGAGAGAAAGTTTGACTTCCTGTCTTCCTATTTGAATATGCTTTATTTCTTCCTTTTGCCTGATTGCCCTGACCAGAACTTCCAATAGTATGTTGAATAGGAGTGGTGAGAGACAGCATCCTTGTCTTGTGCCAGTTTTCAAGAAGAGTGCTTCCAGCTTTTGCCCATTCAGTATGATATTGGTGGTGGGTTTGTTATATAGGCTGTTATTATTTTGAGGTATGTTCCTTCAATGCCTAGTTTCTTCAGAGTTTTTAACATGAAGGAATGTTGAATTTTATCGAAGGCCTTTTCTGCATCTATTGAGATAATTATGTGGTTTTTGTCTTTAGTTCTGTTTATATGGTGAACTACATTTATTGATTTGCGTATGTTTAACCAGCCTTGCATCCTAGGGATGAAGCTGACTTAATCGGGGTAGATAAGCTTTTTGATGTGCTGCTGAATTCGGTTTGCCAGTATTTTATCGAGGATTTTTGCATTGATATTCATCAGGGATATTGGCCTGAAGTTTTTATTATTTTCTTGTTGTTGTATCTCTGCCAGGTTTTGGTAGTAGGGTGATGCTGGCCTCATAAAATGAGTTAGGGAAAATTCCCTCCTTTTCAGTTGTTCGGAATAATTTCAGAAGAAATGGTACCAGCTTCTCTTTGTACCTCTCGTAGAATTCAGCTATAAATCCATCTGGTCCAGGGCTTCTTTTTGGTTGGTGGACTATTTATTATCGCCTCAATTTCAGAACTCATTGGTCTATTCAGGGATTCAACTTCGTGGTTCAGTCTTGGAGGATGTATGTGTCCAGGAATTTATCCATTTCTTCTCGATTTTCAAATTTATTTGCATAGAGTTGCTTATAGTATTCTCAGATGGTTGTTTGTATTTTTGTGGGGTCAGTGTTGATATCCATTTATAATTTTTATTGTGTCTATTTGATTCTTTTTTCTTTTTTATTAATCTAGCTAGCAGTCTATCTATTTTATTAATTTTTTCTAGAAAAACAGCTCCTAGATTCACTGGAAGGGTTGTTCATGTCTCTATCTCCTTCAGCTCTACCTTGATCTTGGTTACTTTTTGTTTTCTGCCAGCTTTGGGGATTTTTGCTCTTGGTTCTCTAGTTCTTTTAGTTGTCATGTTAGCGTGTTGATTTGAGATCTTTCTAGCTTTTTGATGTTGGCATTTGGTGCTTACAATTTCCCTCTTAAAGGTGCATTTTCTGAGTCCAAGAGAGTCCGGTATGTTGTCTCTTTGTTTGTATTGGTTTCAAAGAGATTCTTGATTTCTCCCTTAATTTCATATTTACCCAGGAGTAATTCGGGAACGGGTTGTGCAATTTTCATGTAGTTGTGTGGTTTTGAGTGAGTTTTTTAACTTTGAGTTCTAATTTGTGCTGTGGTCTGAGAGACCGTCTGTTATGATTTCAATTCTTTTGCATTTGCTGAGGAGTGTTTTACTTCCAATTATGTGATCGATTTTAGAATAAGTGCCATTTGGCACTGAGAAGAATGTATATTCTGATGATTTGGGCTGGAGAGTTCTGTAGATGTCTATAAGGTCGACTTGATTCAGAGCTGAGTTCAAGTCCTGAATATCTTTCTTAATTTTCTGTCTTGACGATCTAATATTGACAGTGGGGTATTAAAGTCTCCCACTATTGTTGTGTGGGAGCCTAAGTCTGGGAGCCTAAGTCTCTGTGTAGGCCTCTAAGGACTTTTTTTAATGAATCTGGGTGCTCCTATATTGGGTGCATATACATTTAGGATAGTTAGCTCTTCTTGTTGAATTGATCCCTTTACCATATGTAAGGCCCTTCTTTGTCTTTTCTGATCTTTGTTGGTTTAAAGTCTGCTTTGTCAGAAAGTAGGATTGCAGCCCCTTTTTTTTTTCTGCCTTCCATTTGCTTGGTAATTTTTCCTCTATCCCTTTATTTTGAGCCTATGTGTGTTTTTCACATAAGATGGGTCTCTGGAATATAGCACACCAATGAGTTTTGACTCTTTTTCAAGCTTGCCATTCTGTGTCTTAATTGGGGCATTTAGCCCATTAACATTTAAGGTTAACATTATTATGTGTGAATTTGATCCTGTCATCATAATGCTGGCTGGTTATTTTGCAGATTTGTTGATGTCTTTGCTTCATAGTGCCAGTGGTCTTTCTACTTTAGTGTGTTTTTGCAGTGGCTGGTGACGGTTTTTTCTTCCCCTACCCACCCCCCCTCCCCATATTAATGCTTCCTCCATGAGCTCTTCCAAGGCAGGCCTGGTGGTGACAAATTCCCTCAGCATTTGCTTGTCTGAAAAGGATTTTATTTCTTCTTCACCTATGAAGCTTAGTTTGGCTAGATATAAAATTCTGGGATGGAAATTCTTTTCTTTAAGAATGTTGAATATTGGTACCCAATCTCTTCTGGCTGAGAGGTCCACCCAATCTCTTCTGGCTGAGAGGTCAGTTTCTGCTGAGAGGTCCACTGTTAGTCTAATGGGCTTCCCTTTGTAGATGGCCTGGCCTTTTTTTCTGGCTGCCGTTAGTATTTTTTCCTTTATTTTGACCTTGGAGAATCTGATAATTATGTGTCTTGAGGTTGATCTTCTCTTGGAGTATCTTACTGGGGTTCTCTGGATTTCCTGAATTTGAATGTTGGGCTGTCTTGCTAGGTTGGGTAGTTCTTCTGGATGATATTCTGAAGTATGTTTTCCAACTTGGTTTGTTCTCCCTGTCTCTTTCAGGTACCCCAATCAGTCTTAAGTTCAGCCTTTCTACATAATCATAGCTGTCAGAGATTTTATTCATTTCTTTTCATTCTTTTTTCTCTAAACATGTCGGCCTGTCTTATTTCAAAAAGATAGTCTTCAAGCTCTGAAATTCTTTCCTCTGCTTGGTCTATTCAGTTATTGATACTTATAGTTGCATTGTGAAGTTCTCGTGTTGTGTTATTCAGCTCCATCAGGTCATTTATGTTTGTCTCTAAAGTGGTTATTCTGGTTAACAGCTCCTGCAATGTTTTATCATTATTCTTAGCTTCTTTGCATTGGGTTAGAACATGCTTCTTTAGTTCAACAAAGTTCATTATTACCCACCTTCTGAAGCCTACTTCTGTTGATTCATCAATATTAGCCTCTGCCCAGTTCTGTGCCCTTGCTGAAGTGTTGGAATTATTTGGAGGAGAAGAGGCATTCTGACTTTTTGAGTTTCACCATTTTTTTGTTGATTCTTTCTCATCTTTGTGAGTTTATTTAGCTTCGATCTTTGAGGCTGCTAATCTATGGTTGGGGTTTTTGTGGGGACTTTTTGTTGATGTTGTTTTCTGTTTGTTTGTTTTTCTTTTAAAACTCAGGCCCCTCTTCCATAGGGCTGCTGAAGTTTGCTGGGGATTCACTACAGAACTTAGTCACCTGGGACCCTCCTGCACCTGGAGATGTCACCAGTGGAGGCTGCAGAACAGCAAACATGGCTGCCTGCTCCTTCCTCTGGGATCTCTGTCCCGGAGAGGCACCGACCTGATGCCAGCGGGAACTCTCCTGTGTAAGGTGTCTGGCAACCCCTGTTGGGAGGGGTCTCACCCAGTCAGGAGGTACAGGATCCAGGACCTGCTTAATGAAGCACTGTGGCTGCACCTTGGCAGAGGCGGTGCGTTGCACTGGTGGAAAATCCCACTCCTCCGGCCTGCCTGGATTCCTCAGAGCCAGCAGGGGGAGACTAAGTCTGCTGATCTGCGGTGACTGCGGCCACCTCTGCCTCCAGGGGCTCAGTCCCAAGGATATCAGTGGTCTGTCCCTAAATTCCTGGCTGGAGTAGCTGAAATTCCTGCAGGGAGGCCTCGCCCAGTGAAGAGAGATGGGCCAGGGTCCAGCCTAATGAGGTAGTCTGGCCACGATCTGCCACAGCCGCTATGCTGCACTGTGGGAAATTCCTCCTGGGTCAAATCCGTCCAGTCGCCCACAGGGGAAAATAGCGGGCTGGAGCTGCAGTGATGACAGCCACCCTTCACCCACAAGAGCTCAGTCATCTTTAGCAGCAGGCAGCCGCAGTAATGATGGCCACACTTCCCCCCACTTCGGGAACTCGTAATCTTAGGCAATATCCAGCCGAGTGGCAGCTGAGAATCTGTACAGTTCTGTGCTTGAGACCCAATGCCTTGGTGGCATGGGCTCACGAGGGTGATATCCTGATCCGCGACTTGCACAGATCCATGAAAAAGCATGGTTTCCCAGGCAGGACAGCACAATCACTCACTTCCTCCCTTAGCTGGGGGTGGGAGCTCCCTTACCCCATGTGGCTCCCAGGTGGGCAGTTGCACCATCCTGCTTTCCCTCGCTCTCTGTGGGTCATGCCAACTGCCTAGTCAGCCCTAATGAGAGAACCTGGATACTTCCGTTGATGGTGCAGGATACACCCTCCGTTTTTGTTGTTCTTGGTGGGAGCCTCCTGCCGCAGCTGTTTCTAGTTAGCCTTCTTGGAGCCTCCCCGAGCTTAATTTTCTAAATACGTAGGTTTAAATATTAAATTGAACCAATGCTATTCAGGTTAGTACACTTAATCATTGAGGTCTTTTTTTTTATATATTTGATATCTTTTGATAGTTGGAAAAGACAACGTCTTTTAGATGTGCCTAGCTTCTCATTGGGAATTTGTTTAGTCACATGAAATGATTCTTATTGTAGGATAATTTTCTATTAACCATGGGTGCATATTGCGTATTGCAACTCATTCGTTGGAAGAAATCTGAAAGTATGTTTTAACTCTTTTTATATGACAATTGAAAGTTTCTGCAAATTCTCACATTTGGAATTTATTCTCAGAAAATATCTCTATATCAACTTGCAAATATACTTCAATTCTGTTCTATAACCATAATAAAACTTTTCCTAAAGCAACAACAACAAAATTGCAGTTGCTGAAAAAGGAACAGTTTATGAGCAGTGTCTCTATGGAGACAGTATAATGGATTTATAATAACACTTTGAATATTATTTAGCCTCATTTGTGGAATATGTTTTAAATTTTATTTATTAATATTGAATTCAATTAATGTACAGTCCCATTGAAAAGTATAATTTTCTCTAAACACATCATAACAGGTACAAACAGAAAAATACGTCTTGGCTGGCCTTGGGAAGAGAGAATATCTGAACCTCTATTGTACATATGGCAGCCATCAGGACCATAGTCAGGGGATTCAAGGCCTGGGCTGAGGTCATATCATAGTGTTTATCCCTAAGTCAAATTATATAGAACAAATAAAATATCTGGACTCAAAGTCAGAACAAGAAACCTACAAGTGAGGGGTTAGTACCTGATGGCAGGTAAAGCAGGGAAAAACAGATGAAAGATTGAGGAGCAAAGTTGGAACCTCAGACCTTGGTTTCTGTAGCTAATTAATGAGGTTGTCTACCCTGGAGGGCAAAGCCCAGGAAATGTGCATTTCATTCTCCCATCCAAGGTCTTGGTGTCTGGCTGCTGTTCAAAGCTTCTTGTCAGCCATTCTGTCCCATGGTTCTTCAGCTGGGTCAACAATTCATCCTCCTCCTCTCCTCTTTATATTCTTCCCCTACAGGAAATGCTATTCTTCATGGTTCTTTCTCACTTCCTTTATCCACCTTTTCAACAACTCTGTATCTTTGAAATTTTCTGTAAACCCCTCCTCTTTTGTGATGTCATCCACCATAACCTTGGACAAAGCTAGATGTCTCTTCCCCAGTTTTCTGTTAACACTCTTGTTGTATGGATAACATTACATGGTAATTATTTGTTTATGTGTCTGTGTATTGGTCTTCTTGTTTATCTGTGTGCTCCAGAAAACAAAGATTTTGTTTCATACACACTTAAATCACTGGTGCTTGGCTTGTAGCAGGGATTCATTAACAGATTATTGAATGGAATTGATTTATGTTCCAATAACTTTTCTCCAAACAAAATGTGGATTCTTTACAGAATTTTGAGGCTAAAAAATAAACAAAATATTACCTTGAGTATAGTGTTCCTGACTTGCATTTAAGAAATAAAAAACATTAAAAGCCTTAGTAAATGCCAATCTTAAATATATATAACACTATTAAAAACAACAAAAGCAAAGTAAAATTATAATAATCCAACTATTTTAACTTTTTTTCAAATTATTTTCTAGAATTTGACCATATGTATCCATATTTTACAAATAGCATATGACAAAAATTCCTCCAGATATTGGCAATATATAAGCATTAGCAAATGCAATGATTTCATGTTACATGTATTCTTCTAGGCTCAAATAAATGAAAACTGAAAATCTCATCCATTGATCACCAATTCTGAACAGCATTTTTCTTCTTTTTGTTTCATTTTGCTGATTCACTTATATGAAACAAAGGTAAACACCATGAAAGAATCAATTTTCATTTTAGAAAACTATTACCTGTAGACTTTAGGTGATAACATTGTTTTAAATTCTCTGACCAGAAATTCAGACATCAAATTTTGAGAGCATTTAGGTGATGCTAAATACAAACAAAATGTTTTTGATCAGACAGCTATAATCTGTGAGATAAAAAGTTTGAATATCTTATGAATGTCCTACTAAAATTGAAAGCCTCGTGTAGAGATAGGAATGTGCTTGCTCTCTATGCACTGAACTTCTTTATCTGACCTTGCTCCTTCAAAGATGCACTTGTTACAGAATGTCAGTCACTAATGAGGCCTAAAGTAATTGAGGCTGATTGAGCTGGCTAGATGCTGCCTAATTAGAATGATAAATGGAACTGGCTGATCAAGAATGGAGGAGTGAATGGCACAGAGGGCATTAAACAAGGTCATTCTGTCAAGGAGGACCAGTCATTCAACCCTTCCCCCTCCCCCCAAATACTGACTGTCCTTCATGCCATGTAAGCCCAATACTGTATGATGTATACAGAGCACAGTGATTCCCTGGATAAGTCATTCAGTATAAACACTGAAACCAAATACTTTGAGCCATATAATTCTGTCTATCAAGAATGAGGATTTATGAATGCACTTGTTCTCTAAACAAATATAGGATACCTTAAATTTTACCCCATGAGGTCTACCTTGTTAAACTTTCTATGCCACATGGGGAAATCCATCAAACAACTTCAAGCATTTGAAAGACACACAAAATTTTGTCATAGTGTTTTAGAATCTGAACCACATTTAATTATCTTTTTTATTTCTTAATTATATTGATTAGAACCATTTGCATTTGGTTGTTTTGTCACTTTTTGATTTTGTTTCAAACAAGACATCAGTTTTTTTCTTGATATTGATGGGGGTGTAAGCTTATAAAGATACATTCATAAATATTTCAATGGCAATGTAATTTCACTCAGTTCATTTAGCAATGCAATATTTATTTGCCATAACCTGGGAATAAAAGTCCTGAAGAAATCTATAGCTAATCATACAAAGTCATATCTAAATTATATTTAATAAAAATCTCTCTAATACATCTGTCAGAGCATCCATCCCTGTAATACATTTGTCAGAGAACCCATCCCAAATTTCCTGGACATAGTCCTTAATACGTGAGTATTTTCTAGGGTGGCTGATACTTGCAACTCTCGGCATCATTTTAAAGTTGTGTCTGGAGATGAAGTCTCCACCTTCTTAGAACACCTACTGATGCTCAGTGTAGGTACAATTCTTTGACCTTAGATCTATAACCTGACTCTGGCAAAAAAGAATCTGAAATAAAGGACAGCTGTGGCCCACTCAAAAAAAAGTAGATAACCATGAATTTAGGGAAAATAATCAATAGAAAGTAATGTTAAACTAATATAATAGTAAAAGAATTCAGTACATGAAATTTGGAAATACAAACTATCGCATGCACTAAAATCTCATTCATTAGCATATCTGTCATTTCTTTAAGTGGTTGAATAAGCAGGACATTTTTCCGGTTCAGCTTTCTTAGATGTCTTTTCTGGACCCTTCTACTTCTGTGGTCTTCCCTAAGGATTCAGTTACAGGTATAACCTTTCAACATCCACAGGTAAATATATCATGTCTCTGGCCCTCACAGCTGTGTGCCTGACTCCCTGCGTTGGCTTTAGAAGGAAATGGTTAAGAATAGACTCTCTGTTGACAATGAAGATTGACCTCCAATACTGTTCTTGACATTTACTAGTTATGTAGTTTGAGAGAAGTTTCCCAAACCCCATAAAATGGGTATAATTATGTTCACTTCACTGGGTTGCTTTGAAGATTAAAAGACATATGTACATTTTTTAAAAAAAGCTTTGCTTAGTGGCTGGTACATGGAAAGTACTTGGTAAGTGGTAGATAATGATGTTGCTCACACACCTCGCAGAAGCAACTAGGAAATGAATAAAACTTTTTCTCTTTCTCTGTTGCCACTCCCCACCCCTGTCCTCTACTGATCCCATCATCTAGCCACAGATAAGTATCTTTCACTCCTCTATAACATTTTTTTTTTTTCCTGGCAAAGAGTCACTTCTAGTCTTGGTCCTTTTGGTGACTCTCCCTTCTCCATCAATCTGCAGCCCCCTGCACCCTCCCCACCCAGCTGTCATACTGCCCCTCCTTATTCCATTGAATGTCCTCTGTCGTATTGCCAATTCTTCTCCCACTGACATTGGGCATGACTGTAACTGTCAGTCATCTGTTTCAGGCTCACTTATATCCACTTTATAAATGTATTAGACAGTCTCTGCTTATGAAACATAATACATTGAACAGAACCTTTCCCTGATGACTCAGGGTCATGTCCATGAACAGCAATTATTGTTCTGTCCTATATAGTTCTAAGAGCCATTGAAGTGTATGGGTTGCTTGTCCTTAAGCTAAATAGATTTCTTCTAAAATTTATTGCCAAGAAAAATATAACCTCTCTAGACAAAGGTGAATATGTCCTGCTGTTTGATAACAAAACATAGCTACATTGAACATGTGTTATGCAATATACTCAGTCTTTCACTTGTACTTCAATGCTTTTCTTGTTTATCTCTTGTTACTGGAAAGAGTAGGGAGGAGCTTATTGTCCAACAGTGATAGCCAGTGTATTCATACTCAGAATACAAATTCTCTTCCTTAATTTGATAATCTCTAATCTTTCACTGAACTACAAAATTACAATTCTAACATTTAATTGACTTTTTGTCCAATGTTACATTTTATATGTTATTTTATTGTCAGTTCTGTCAAACCTGTTTTGAAATTAGGTTGGACAAATATTATATATGATATATAAATTATATTAGTTCTGTAGGAATGCCATAACAAATTACCACAAACTAGATGGCTTAAAACAGCAGAAATGTATTCCCTCACAGATCTAGAAATGAGAAGTCCATAATCAAGGTATCAGCAGTGCCATATTGTCTCAGGGATCTACGGTGAAATTCCTCCTTGTTTCTTCCTAGTTTCTGGCGATTGGCAGCAATCCTTGCTGTTCTTTGGCTTGTAAACATTTCACTCCACTTTTTACTTCCACTATCCCTGTGTGCCTCTCTATGTCTGTGTTTTCTCTATAATGACACCAGTCATTGAATTTGGGCCCGCTTTAATCTAATATGACCTTTTTTAAACTAAAGTAATTACATCTGCAAAGACTGTATTTCCTAATAAGGTCACATTCTGAGGTTCTGGTTAGTCATATATTTTACGGCAACACTATTCAACCTGGCACAGACGCCAAATTGCTTTATTTTTCCTTTTGGTTATATTTCAGTCAGCGCCATCTTCCATTATTTCTTTGTGGTAATTACTTCATCAATATTACATTATGAGTTCCAGTTTCATATCTTTGAAAAAACAATAAATCAGTGCAAAAAAATACAAATAAATTGGTTAAGTTGGTTCACCTGTTAACAAGTGTTAACATTTGTTAACATTTTTATCCTGGAAATCATGTTTTTAAAAAGACCACCACAAGGCAAACAGCAACAGCATGTGTGTGCTGCAGTTCTTGCTGATGGGGGTAATGGTAGAAACTATAAGATGGTAGCTAGAATCTGCAAGTAGTGACATATGGGTCTTGGTAGGCAGCACCCAATACACAAGTTATAAAACCCTAAGTGGGGTAAGTAAGAACAGAACAGGCCACAGGTAAAAACTAGACATATTTACCTATGGACAACATGGTCAGAAATATATCCTAGTTCAGTCTGTATAACTTCGCCTTCTGAATTTCCTATTGCAATCATTGAGTGCTGTCCATTCTACCACTCTAACCAGAAAACTCAGCAACATTCCGATTCCTCTCTAGAGGTGCTTCGCCCACTACATGTAATCAGTCACCGTATCTTGCAGAGTCTATCTTACACTAACAAATATTCTATTTGTTTCCTGCTTCCCTTCTTTTTGCTACTCCCTTGGTTCAGTCCCTTAATAGGGTATGAGGGGAATGTAATGGACTGGTTTTCCCCACCTTTCCAACTTCATCTCCCAGCACTCCCCACAGGTAGCCTGAGCTATAATCCAGTGAAAGAGCATTTTCTTCCCACACTTACCAGATACACTTCAATATCTTTGTGGTGTCTTATCTGCCCATTTCCCAGGGAGACTCAAACACTGCCTTTTCTCTACTCACGTAGCATCTTAAAGTATATACCACGAATGCATTGATTTTAGTAGTTTTGTAATATTGAGTCTGCATGTCTTCTACAGAAAAATATGTGCAATAATGGAATAATAGAATAAGATGCATTTAGGGAGCCACACATATGGTTAGTCGAATCAGGTTCTTTTGCTTTGCAGCATGTGCTAACTAGGAGGACAGAAAAAAATGGAGAGTAAATATTCTGAGGGAGTCACAGCAGAACAGATTAGAAAGACTTTGATTTCCAAGTAGATGAGAATGAACGTAGCTGACCTTATAAAGAATTAGTGGAGACTAAATAAGCACAATCAAAGAAAACATCTGACATATTTCTCATTCAGCAAATATTGTGTCGTGTATGAAGCAAAGATACAATGATCAAAACAATAAACTATATCCTTGTCTTCATGAAGATTTTACTTTGCATTTTTCTAAATATCTGTTAGTTTTATTTGCTATCTTCAGTATCTCCACTGCTTAGCACAGTGACAATACATACTATTCAATAAATACTTTTAATTTAAATGAATAAATTTTGAAATCCAGAGTTGATATAAAATATTTGTAAAATTCAACAAAAAAGTCACACTTTTAAGGTGCTCATTTTTCTAATCTAGTAATTTATGGAGTGAATGTTCCTTAAGCACTTTTCTCTACCAAAGTTTTTGTGTGTTGTCAGACTTAAAATGCTGGTGAAGCAGACCGAGGGAATCAATCAATATACACCGGTAACAGCAGACATGAAAATCTTTAGCATCTATAACATCCATTATGTGTTCCAATTTTTAAACTAATACAATTTTGGCAGAGGAGGACACAATGTGAACAGAATTTATACCCAGACTTTGAGGTTATCTAGGGATGGTCAAATATGTAATGATCTAAGTATACTGAAAAAAATGGCAGGAACTTCAGATGTATCATTTAGCCAGTTAATGAGAGACAGAAATAAAAATATTAGTCTGCAAGGCTTTAATATTACCTTGGTTAACTTATCATCACTATCAACAACTAAATTTGTTGAATAGCCCCTCTGTGTGTCGCATTACTTGCCCAAAAATCAAATGCTAGATTGGTATGCAGATAAAATCTACAACACAACAGAGAAGATAAGAAGGCTACCCCAGGGTGGCTAACAAATTTTTGCACAGTAAATATAGATGTGTGACCCTAAAGTAGAAAAGCTGGGTCCTTATCAAGGGATGTGTACCAATTATTTTTTGTGCTTTTATTAATATACATGTTCTCAATCTATTTACTTATATGTGGTTTTTAAGCTCATGTTATGAGTGAAATCAGGGTTACTACATAATATGCCTATGTATCACCTGAATTTGCTTTGACCCTAACTTCTCTTACTCACCTAGTGAACATTTCACAGGGGACAAAGAATGAGCATATCCATGAATCTAAAAATTTTCATCACAGCAGCCAGTAGAACAACTAAAAGCCCATATCTTGTTAAACATGAAGCAGGAGGACCATTTTTTCTGCTAAAGAGGAAAAAATCATTTGTGATATTTAACTGAGTGCAACTCAATGACTTTATTAATAGAAACAAAAACAGCATGAAACTAAAAAATATTCTTTTTCTTGGTAACATTGTTAAAAATCCAGGGAATCTTATTCCCTGCCCAATGAAAGCAAATATGAACAAAGCATTTGACAATGTTTTAAGGAGATTGTGCATTCGGGACAAGATGAACTAACAAACTATTATTTCTATGAGTGCATGTGCCTCTCTTTCTCAAGGTTGTTTCCCTGGGTAGCATATTACTTCAAGATGATGCTTCTTTCACAGGCTGGGCCATCCTGGGACCAGTATAAATAGGAATGCAGCATAGTGGGTATGCTCAGCACCAAGTTTTTGCTATGTCGATCTGCTCCTACATGACTATTTTATGCTGTGTGAACAACCTTGTGATTGCATTAGCTGGATGTCAGAAGCAGCAAACTCATTTCTCTGGTAGATAAATATGGAGCCACCACCATGCATTTCTAGTTGTCATTGGTTAGGAAAATGGAAAAGCAGAAACACAGTACAGGAAAATACAAAATGGCTAACTGACAAAATCTAGTCTCAATGCCAATAATACCACAGAATATTTTTTTTCATAGAATTTTGTTGGGAAAGTGCACCTGAGGAACCAGAAGGATTAGGAAAACCTTGCCAGTCACTGCAGGGTGCAGCTAAGGGCAGACTCATTGAAGTTTCAGTTCAAAAATGATAAGGTTTAACAAATCTCTGTGGGTAGATTTATCTCATAATTGCAGATCATATTTAGGGGACTGGACTAATTAGACTTGATTTGTATATGCTTTAGGCTTAATTGAAAGTCAGTTTTTTTCTGTGTTGCTTCAAAATGATTCTTTGTTGATGTGGAAAGAGGTAACTTTTGCATAAGTTAAATTCTAAAACATGACCATGTTTATGTTCTTTGCATTTGAATTGCATGCTGCTCTGTTGTCATGAAATATAGTCACTTTATTAAACAAAGAAAAGATGCTGATTTCTTTGGTATGTGATTTGAAATACTAAAATATACTTAGTGATAAACCTTTAAAAAGAAACCAAGAAAATATATATGCTAAAGTGGAGTTTTATGTTCATAAAGGGAACAAAAGGAAAGCAACAAAATATTTCCTCTGTGCAGCACCCTTTGTTTAACAAGGCCACTCTTAGTGGCTGACTAATTATTGAAAATAAAAAGAACTAAGCTTAAATTGCAGCTACTCCTCGCAATAAAAATTATGATACCTTTGAAATATTTTAATTAGCATAGATACAAATATGACTAATGGTATATGTTGGTTTCATTATTAGGCTATTATTATTTAAATTTCACATTAATATTCATCCATTGTGGATTTTTGCCTTTGAATTTTCATAATGTTTTTCTTGGTCTTCATTAAGATATCTCCATACATATGCTGCTTGTTGTAATGTGGCTGCATTTTAGTGTCAGTCTAATTATGACCAATTCAGTCATTTTAAAATAGTTATAGCAATCTTTATGTAGCATAACAAACTCCTGTAATTCAGGTTATTTTTGAAATTAAAGATGGGGTCCAAGGACAGGATGAGAGTTTTGGTATTGTCTTTGGTTCACTCTTTTTCTGGAATTATTTTCCAATTTTCCTTTCCAAAACTAAACATATGACTAGATAGAACAAATATACAGTTACATGGTGAAGTTGAACATCATTAGAAAGTATCTCTTACTTCAGTGTAATGATGTCCCACTCTCATTCTCTAATTATGTAATATCTGAATCACCATCACTAGATTTTCCTTAGGTATAAGTTAATATCCATAGTTAAAATGAAGTTGATTATCCAATCTCAATCAAAATTCCAGGAGCTTATTTTGTGGATTTCAACAAACTGATTCTAAAGTTTACATGGAAAGGCCAATAACCCAGAATAATCAACTCAATAAAATTCAGAATGACATTGTCTGCTTTAACATTTACTATACAGCTACAGTAATTAAGACAGTTACTAATTAGAGAAAGAATAGACAAATAGATGAGTGGAGTAGAATAGAGAGCCCAGAAATAGAGCCATACAACTATTATCAGTTGATCTTTGACAAAGAAGCAAAAGCAACACAATAGAGAAAAGAGAGTCTTTTCAACAAATGGTGCTGGAACAACTGGACATCAAAATGCAAAAAAGAAAAAAAAAGAATCTAGACACTAACCTTACACTCTCACAAAAATTAGCTCAATATGAATCACAGACCTAAATGTAAGCTGCAAAACTATAAAACCCCTGAAAATAAAATAGGAGAAAATCTAAATGATCTTGGGCATGACAATGGCTTTTTAAATACAACACCAAAGGCATGAAACATGAAAGAAATAATTGGTGAGCTAAACTTCATCAAAATTACAAACCTCTCTATAGGGACAATGTGAAGAAAATGAGAAGATAAGCTATAGACTGGGAGAAAATGTTTTCAGAAGACATAGATACAGGAAAATTATCTAAAAGATACAAAAAAAAAAAAAACCCTCTTTAAACTTAACAATGGCTGGGCACGGTGGCTCACGCCTGTAATCCCAGCACTTTGGGAGGCCAAGGCAGGCAGATCACGAGATCAGGAGATTGAGACCATCCTGGCCAACATGGTGAAACCTGTTTCTACTAAAAATACAAAAATCAGCTAGGAGTGGTGGCATGTGCCTGTAATCCCAGCTACTCGGGAGGCTGAACCACGGAGTTGGAGGTTGCAGTGAGCTGAGATCGCACCACTGCACTGTAGCCTGGCAACAGAGTGAGACCCCGTCTGGAAACAAACAAACAAACAAAGAAACAAACAACAAAAACTTAACAAAAGGGAAAGGAACAACCTTATTAAAAACTGGGCAAAACACCTGAGGAGACAGCTCACCAAAGAAGACATACAGATGGCAAATAAGCAAAAGAAAAGATGTTCCACATTATATATCTATCATTAGAGAATTTACAGTTAAACTATGAGATACACTAAAAACCTATTAGAATGGTGAAAATCCTAAACATTGACAACATCAAATTCTAGAGAAAACATGGAGCAAAAGTAACTTTCTTTTTTTTTTATTTTTTATTTTTTATTATACTTTAAGTTTTAGGGTACATGTGCACAACGTAACTTTCATTTATTGCTGGTGGGAATGCAAAATGGTACAGCCCCTTTGGAAGACAGTTTGGCAGTTTTTTACAAAAGTAAATATACTATTTCTATATGATCCAGCACTTGCACTCCTTGCTATTTACCCAAATGAGTTAAAAATTTATGTGCACACAAAAACTTGCACATGGGTGGTTATGGCAGCTTTATTCATAATTGCAAAAACATGAAAGCAACCCAGATATTGTTCAGTACATTAATGAATAAATAAATTGTGGTACATTCACAGAATGAAAGATTACCCAAGGCTAAAAAGAAGTGAGTTATAAAGCAATTAAAAGACATGGAGGAATCTCGAATATATATTACTAAGTGAAGTAAGCCAAATCTAAATGTCTACATACTATATGATTCCAACTACATGACATTCTGGAAAAGGCAAAACTTTGGAGACAGTAAAAAGAACAATGGTTGCCAATGGATTGGAAGAAACATGCACAGAAGATTGTGAGGGCACTGAAACTATTTTCTACCATAATAAAATGGTAGATACATGCCATTATACATTTGTCAAAACCCATAGACTGTACATCTAGTGAATACTAATGTAAATGTTGAACTTTTGGAGGTAAGGCTGTGTTAATGTAAATTCATTGATTATAACAAATGTACAAGTGTGGTGAGGGGTCCTGTTGATAGGGGAGCTTGTATATTTGTGGGGGCAGAAAGCATACAGGAATTCTGTGTTTCTCGTCAATTTTGCTGTGAACCCAACTGCTCTAAAAAATAAAGTCTTTTAAAAGCCATAAATAAATGCATACATGCATAAATTTTTCCATTTAAACCAAAAGAAAATGAAGTTGACTCATACATCCAAAAAGCCAAATCACCAATTTCTTTGGTATTTCCCCAACTTCAAATAAAGTCATTTCTTCTGTAGAAATCTCAATTATCCATATTAAAGGAGAGCTTCCACTCATTCCCTCCCACCTGTCTAATTTTCTGTCCCAAGACTTTGTATATGACAAACTTTGGCTACTTCTCAAAGAAGCCAGCTATCTTGATGAGAGAAAAGATTTAATATTTGCATATCTAGTGATGAATATGTTAGCAGGTAGAAAGTGGGGGGGTGGGGGTGTGAGAAATTCCAGTCCGGTAAACAGACAGGAGAGAGAGTAGAAAATCAAAGTGTTTCTGAGAAATGGCTTAGGAAGGAAAACAATAGAATGGAACCAGAATGCTAGGTAAGTATGTAAAGTCATAAACATGGTTGGGTTGAGATTCAAAAGTGGATTAAAGTAAGGTTGAGCCTTGCCTCACAAAGAAGGAACAGGAAAACAGACTAGGACATCTGGTGGACCAAAGAATGTGCTTGAGCACTGATGCACTGATGGGAAGACTCATATATGACCCACATTCTACCTTTCTATGCCTCACTTTGTGTTCATCATTCAGCCCATCCATTGCAGTGAGAAAAGTCCTGTCCTTCCAACAATTGATTTTTCAGTAAGAAATCTTTCAGTTAACTGATGTAATTGTTTATTGTGAGAGTTTTATCAGAAATCTGGCAAGAACTGAGAGCAGTTTTGGCTACACAGGAAGAGAGAGTGCTGGATTAAAGGGTAGTAGCCATTAGGGGAAAAGTTATCAAGACCCATTGGGATCTTTCTAGCTTTCTCTGAAGGCAGGCTCTCTTCCTGCTACTAAAAAGCATGGTAATGTGCTAGGAACCACATGAGTGGAAAGAAGACAGCTATTTATTAAATGAATAATTGACTGTTTTTAATAAGTGAAATTAGTTTAAATTGAATTAAAAATTATGAATGTTTGTATAATAAATTATAATCCAATTTATTACAATTTAGGTTACAACACACACACACACACACACACATATATATATATGTGAGTATGTATATTATTCTGTTTTCATGCTGCTAATAAAGATATACCTGAGACTGGGTAATTTATAAAGGAAAGAGGTTTAATGAACTCACAGTTCCACATGGCTGGGGAGGTCTCACAATCATGGCAGAAGGCAAGGAGAGACAAAAGAACATCTTACATGGTGGCAGGCAAGAGAACTTGTGCAGGGGAACTCCCATTTATAAAACCATCAGATCTTGTAAGACTTATTCACTACCAAGAGAACAGTATGGGGAAAACTGACTCCATGATTCAATTATCTCCGCCTGATCCTGCCCTTGATACATGGGGATTTTTTACAATTCAAGGTGAGATTTGGGTGGGGACACAGCCAAACTATATCAGTATGTATGTGTGTGTGTGTATGTATGTATGTATGTATGTATGTATGTATGTATGTATGTATCTATCTATCTATCTATCTATCTATCTATACATGACAGGATGAACCAAAGAGAGAGAAAAAGTGGGTGAGCACAGGAATAAAAAGTATGTGATGACACACACAAATGGAAACACATCTCATGCTCTTGGATGGGTAGAATCAATACTGTGAAAATGACCATACTGTCAAAAGAAATCTACAAATTCAATGCAATCCCATCAAAATACCTTCATCATTTCTCACAAAACTAGAAGAAACAATCCTAAAATGTGTATTTTACCAAAAAAGAGCTCACATAGCCAAAGCAAGACTAAGCAAAAAGAACAAATCTGAAGGCATCACATTCCCCAACTTCAAACTATACTACAAGGTTATAGTTACCAAAACAGCATGGTACTGGCATAAAAAATAGGCACATAGACCAATGGAGCAGAATAGAGAACACAGAAATAGAGCCAAATATGTACAGCCAACTGATCTTTGACAAAGCAAACAAAAATGTAAAATGGGGAAAGGACACCCCTATTCAACAAATGGTGCTGGAATGACTGGCAAGCCAAATGTAGAAGAACGAAGCTGGATCCTCATCTCTCATCTTATATGAAAATCAACTACAGGTGGATAAAAGACTTAAATCTAAGACTTGAAACCATAAAAATTCTAGAAGATAGCATGAGAAAAACTTTTCTAGACATTGGCTTAGGCAAAGAGTTCATGATGAAGAACCCAAAGGCAAATGCAATAAAAACAAAGATAGATAGATGGGACCTAATTAAACCAAAATCTTCTGTACAGCAAAAGAAATAATTAGAGTAAACAGACAACCCATAGACTGGGAGAAAATCTTTGCAAACTATGCATCTGACAAAGAACTAATATCCAGAATCTACAAGGAACTCAAACAAATCAGCAAGAAAAAAAATAATAATCCCATCAAAAAGTGGGCAAAGGGCATGAATAGACAATTATCAAAAGAAGATATACATATATGCAATGAATATATGAAAAAATACACAACATCACTAATTATCAGGGGAATGCAAATCAAAACCACAATGAGGTACTACCATACTGCAAAAATGACCATAATTAAACAATAAAAGAATAACACTGGTTGGCATGGATGTGGTGAAAAAGGAACACTTTTACACTGCTGGTGGGAATGTAAACTAGTACAACCACTATGGAAAACACTATGGATATTCCTTAAACAATTAAAAGTAGAACTACCATTTGATACAGCAATCTCACTACTGGGTATCTACCCAGAGGGAAAAAAAATCATTATATGAAGAAGACACTTGCACATGTATGTTTACAGGAACACAATTTGCAACTGCAAAAATATTGAACCAGCCCAAATGCCCATCAACCAATGAGTGCATAGAGAAAATGTGATATATATATATATATATATCTCTAGGTAATTTATATATATATAAAAATATATTTTATATATATAAATATATATTTTAATGTATTTTATTATATTAAATGTTAATATATTAAATTATATAAATTATATAAATTAAATATATTTAATATTTAATATATATTAAATATTATATATATATTTAAATAAATATATATATTTATATATAAATAAATATACACACACACACACACACACACACACACACACACCCCATGGAATACTACTAAGCCATAAAAAGGAACAAAATAACGGCATTCTCAGCAATGTGGATGGAGTTGGATACCATTATTCTAAGTGAAGTAACTCAGGAAAGGAAAACCAAATATTGTATGTTCTCACTTATAAGTGGGAGCTAAGCTATAAGGATACAAAGGCATAAAAATTATATACTAGACTTTGCAGACTCAGGGGGAAGAGTGGGAGGGGCGTGAGGGATAAAAGACTACACATTGGGTTCAGTGTACACTGCTCGGGTGAAGGAGGCACCCAAATCTCAGAAATCAGCACTAAAGAACTTTTCCGTGCAACCAAACTCCATCTGTTCCCCTCAAAACTACTGAATTTTTAAAAAGATTATATAAGAATTATTTTATAAGAAATCAAAGTAAAATCACTAAAACATAATATAATAGGGATCTTAGTCAATGGATACTTTTATCGAAATAATATTAATGGATAATTGTTAAATGAATATTGCTTAATATTATTTACTTAAAAGTCTTTTATCAACCATTTCAGATGGTAAAATATAGTTACTAACATAGTATTCTGTCACTCATTTTTTTCATTAAATTTTTCATTTAATGAACAGGTGTGTATGTCCCAAATCTAATAAGCATTCTGAAAAGAGTTGCAAATTTTGAGAATATTACAAGGGTAGAGTGGGGAAGTCAGACACTTTCCCCGAGAAAATAACTTTGGAGTGGCTGATCTCTGAATTACAGATACTCTTGATATGGTAAAGAGTTGTTGAATAGGATAAAGCACCTTCTGTTAAAAGCACCAGCATGCACAAAGGCATGGGAAAAAATTAGAATAGAAGAAAAGGCTGATGGATTTGAAGCATAGAAAGGATGGGACTAAACTGCAAATTGAGGCTGGGGAGATAAATTATACGATGATAGATTTGTTACAGATGTTAGTGCTTGTCTATTAGAAATGTGGTTCTTTCGAGGGTTTCACAAACAGCCATGGGTAGTAGCATTTGCATTTTGCAGTGACTGTTTTGGCACATGAAGAGATCAGATTAGTGGGAAAAGTCCAAATATGTAAACATAAATTTAAAGTTATTGGGGTATTTTTGTTTGTTTTTCTTGAAACATACAGAAAGAAAAAAAAGTGCATATGTTTGTAATTAAGTAGCAGTAAAGATAACAACAAATTATGAATAACATCTGCCTAATAATAATATACTCAAAACAAGACAGCATGTTAAGATTTAACACTAACTTCTCTAACTCTCAAGTAGAATACATACATCTTTAAAAGTAAATGGTTTGGGAGGCGGAGGCAGGCAGATCACGAGGTCAGGAGATCGAGACCATCCTGGCTAACACGGTGAAACCCTGTCTCTACTAAAAAAAATGCAAAAACTTAGCCGGGCGTTGTGGCGGGCGCCTGCAGTCCCAGCTACTTGGGAGGCTGAGGCTGGAGAATGGCGTGAACCCGGGAGGCGGAGCTTGCAGTGAGCCGAGATCGCGCCACTGCACTCCAGCCTGGGCGACAGAGCGAGACTCCGTCTCAAAAAAAAAAAAAAAAAAAAAAAAAAAAAAAAAGTAAATGCTGCATTTCTGAAAGGTTTATCTGATGTTCCCTTTATTAGTAGAACAAGATCCAAGGGTTTGAAGGGATCAAAGGGAAGGCAGAGAGTAGCAGTCACTCGTGCTGCTCAGTTCCACATTTCGGAGTGGAGAGTAGCAAGGGACACCTTTGTCATAGGATAACAGCTTCCCTTCTAATAAGCGAACCTGCTAGGAAAAAAAAAAAGATGTTTGAAAGGTGGGAGAGGAAATGACATAGTATTAGGAGATTAAAACTCAGAGGAGCTGTGAGTAAAGGAGCTTCACAAGGAGGCATACAAACCTCCACCTGCAAAATCTTAGTGTAGAACTGTACCCAGTGACAGAGAACATAGCAGATTTGTGGTTCATCATGACAAGTCTGACATGAAATTGTAGATGTCCTCAGGAGAGTCTCATGCCTCTCACTAGATTTCAGGCTTTGACTAAATGCCTTCATTCACAGTTTAGAAAGGAACAAGTACAGGGTCAGTGCAGAGATATGGCAAATGAAACTAAACCAAAGAAAGTAAGCAAACACAGCAAACACGTACAAACGTATGACAATAACAACAACAACAACAAAAAAATGGAAAGAAAGGAAGATAAAAGCAACATCTGCCAAGTTTTAGCTTTGGACTCAAAGGAAGTGTTTAGAATGCAGGTTTCTACAGACGTGTAGTATTTGTGAGACTATGTATGTTTGCATATTTATTTTACAAGATATCAGAAAGAGTTTAAAGAGATGCCCCTCCCCCAAAAAAGAACCAAAGTGAACTGAAATATCTCAGGAAGAAATGGAAGAGAATAATAAAACCATTTCAGAGTTAAAGGAAAATTTCTCCAAAAGTACAATGAACTTGGCTGAAAGCACAATTATAAACAAGGATTAGAGAAATGAGAAAAGCCACAAAAATGCAGGGAAGAAAAAAGTAGAATAAATATTATTTGAGGAAATAGTTCTGCAAGATATGCAAATAAAATCAACAGACACATTCTTTATGTTTCCAGAAAAAAATACTGTGTGAAAAAAGATATTTAGGTGGATGACAAAATTGCCTTTTCTAAATAGTAAAGGCAGTTCAGCTCTCACAAAATTTGATACAGAAACAGCAATACTGTATGATACGCTCTGAGATTTAGAACTTAAATGTTGATAATAATACTTTTGAAAAGCACATAGCCAGAAAGCCTGATTTCTTTAGACCTCATATGATGCTAGGAGGCAACATGGGACAATCTAAGAATCTCATATCCAACTTAGTTTCTCTCAGGTCACAATTCTCAAATTCACCGGCCTTGGCCTCACAAAGTGCTGAAATTACAGGCGTGAGCCACTGTGTCCAGCCTTAACTTTTATAATTTTCTTAAAAACCTCTTGGCGAAACTGCAAATAGAGAAAGCTTCAAAAGTAAGAAAATGTGAATGTTCTTAACAAAGTGATTAGCAGTTGAAAGAATGTTTAAGAATAGGACATGAATAAAGTAATCAGGAAGTCATAAAGGCAATGAAGTTTTTCTGCAATTATTATTATTTTTGGAGAATGGCCAATTATAATAATTTTTTTAAATGCAGCCCATATTATATTTAAGCTACAAAATGTATTAGATCATATGAATATTTTTAAGCTCAGGCAAAATTAATTCCAGTATGTTTAAATGTAGATATCTTCTTCAATTATAATCATATTGAATCCTAAAGATACCATTTTATTTTGTTCTTTAAAGAAATTAATGGCACACCTCCAATATCATCAGCCAACATTGAAGTCAAATAAGCTTTAGTTTGTGTTAAGAGATACTGAGCCAGAGAATATGAATTCTAATTAGAAACAAAGTTGAAATGGTAAATTGAAACCACTCTATATCTAACTTACTATCATAGTTCCAAATTTTACATCACTTAGCATTTGTACATCATTTAGCATTTGAAAAAAAGAACATGCACACACACAGTTTTATCTTCTTTGCACCAAAATTTCTAGGGCAAAATGATTTATTATTGAAATGTTTTTCCTATAAAATGTTGTCCACTGGGTATTGACTTATTAAATAACAATAACAAAAAATTCAATTGATGAACTGGAGCAATGCATCTGAGAAATTCCTCTTATTTGGGATTTTTTATCCTACACAAATTGAAATCCTCATTGAATTCAACCACGTGGGAAAATCATAAACTAATGTATGTTGGAATTGAAGTTTTACACAGATCTATTATTATTGGCTGACTAATAAGAAAAATGCTCACTATAAGTGCTTATTTCATCATAAAGTGGAGAGAAATATAAGGAAAAAATAAAGATTACTCATAATCTACAACTAAGAAATAATCACTAGAAACTCACATAGATTTCATCCATAAATTCATTATATTCCACTATTATATTTCAATCAACCTCACTAATTATCAATTGTGATATTTGAGTCACTTTATTCTGCATTGCATTTCTTGTTTAGACTCTCAAAGGACAAAACACACAGCAACACTTTACATCTCAGGCATTTAAGTAGCAGTTATCATCCCTAGATGGTAAATTTGGATAAGATGATGTTCATAGTACAGCTCTTTTGGTCCTGATAATTAGTATCCCAAGCATCTACTCATCACTACTTTTATATAAAATATTGTATAATATGTGCAAAACAAAGTGTTTTATTATGCACACAAAACAATAATTAAATAATAACATGTTCCTTCCTACATATTTTCCTTTTCCACATTACCCTTTAGTTTGTATTCATAAGTTGTCTGGGTATTCACTCTACTCTAGATTACCACTATTTACTATCTTCTTTGGTGTTGGTTGTTCCAAAATTACTCACATTCTGCTTTGCTCTGTTTTCATTTCAGGTTGTGCTTAATGACACCATTATCTAAAGGTTAGAATTTGTTAATTAATTTAGGAAATTTTGCTTATTTGTTGCTATTATTTCTATAGATATTGATAAGGTACTGATGCTGCCATTGTCTGAATCATAAAACTACACAAAAACAAAATAAAATGAAGATTTTCTAGTTCTCAATCTTCTCACCCACAACTAGTCCCACTTTGTGGTTCAAACCTTTAATCATGTCATTATTATTAATTGCCACTCTTCTGAAAACTCAGTTTCAAACAGCAGTTCTGTGACCAATGTCTTCTAAACAACAGTTCACCTACTCTGGCTCTCAAAACACTCCAGTTATTCAACTTGAAGGCATCCCTGTCAGACTTACTCACCATCTGTAAGCCTTGATCACTTTCATCACTTGCTTAGATAGATGCATGTCCTCCTTCTTCTAATTATTCTACTTTATTATTTATTTTATACACTGGATAGAAAGTGCTTCATCACACTGACTTTATCTTCTTTATAGCATACACAATTCTTTGTTTTATTTATTTATATATTCCTGTAGTTTTCTTTCATTGGTTATTGTTATCTCCAACTCCTTACAATGTTAACTCCACGTGGCAGGGACTTTGCCTATCTTATTCACTGCTGAATCCCTAGGGCTGGGAGCAACACCGTCACACAGTAAACACTTCACAAGTACTTCTTGACCAATTGAGTAAACCAAACTCAAAGGAAAGGAGGTATAGTCATTCAATAACTTAGTTCAAATACTTATTTTGACAGTTCAAAAAAACTTGAAACATTAGGGAAATATGATTCTATCTCCCTTTGATATGGATAAAAAGCATTGGATTCTAGCATTTCTAATCTTCAGATACAGTGCTTTCCTATAAGACAAATATTATCAAGCTTGCTTTCTTAGGTTTTGCCATTTTCAGATGTTTATAAATAATTCTAAATAATAGTCTAAGGCAATTGTCATCTCTTAGAAGCTTGGATTTTTAACTTAACCTTTTCTGAAGTGGTATCTTTTAAAAAGGCTTCCTTTTATAGCAACTATTAATATTAAATAAAATAAACCTACTTAAAATTATTTTTTAAATTTCATGTGATAATTTACTCATATTAGTGCCTTAGTAAATTAGGGGTGCCATAGCAATAAACAGTAGACTGGGTGGCTTAAACAACAACAATTTATTTTCTTACAATTCTGGAAGCTGGTAAATCTAAGATGAAGATGGTGGTAGAGTCAGTGTCTAGTGAGGCCTATTTCCTTGGCTTGCAAGTCTCTCTGCCTTTATGCAATATCTTCACATGACCTTTCCTTAGTGAACACGCTTGAAGAGAAGCAGCTCTTTCTCTATCTCTTTTCCTAAGGCCACTAATCCTAGTAGATTAGGATCCTATCCTTTGACCTCATTTAATCTCAATTCCCTCCTAAGAGCCCTGTCTCCAAATACAATCATATTGGGTGTTAGGGCTTCCACATATGAATTTTGGGGGACAATTCAGCCTATTGCATGTCAATAATTCAATATAAGTAGACATTAATGTCTTAAAATGCAGCAACTCCAGTGCCTTTGACTCTGCTGTGTGAAAATTCAAACAGACACAACCTAGCATCTATCAATCACTGTGTCAAGAGCAAAGATCTATAGCTGACATGTCTCTGTGACTCTATGTGCATGAATCTGATCCACCCGATTCAGAAAGTCAGGCATTCAAAAATTTGAGCATATAGATCATTGACTCTACTCTTTATTGTTTAGGGGTCTGTATAGCGACAGAACAAATTTACATGAAAGAGTCATATTCCTCACTGAAAGTTAAGAGCCTTTCAGGAGGATAAAATGTACTCATAATTTGCAAAATTATAGTTCTTCCATAAAATTTTTTTCCAAGTCATTGACTCAGGTTTTTATATATGTATGTGGTAGAGACCTATGATATTACACATTTTTAATAAAAATACAGAAAATATATACTGAATATGCTGAAAGGTACATTCACTGAATATGATCTATACCCTCCTCTATGTTCTTATAGTTATTTAATGTAAACATATTAAATCATATCATTCAGTCATACATTCAAAAAATACTTTTTGTATGTTTTCTATATAGTGAACCATAGGTGTCATTGTTAGAGATTTTCATCTTATATATTATACATAGCATTTCATTGAAGTATATATTGTGTAGAAATTTAGTAATTATATTGAGAACATTTTATTTGGTTTGAGATACAGAAGGTTAGAGAATTGAAGGATAATTATGCTAATAAGCCAAAATGTATATAAGGAGCTCCACAAGCAAATTAATTATTTTGTCTTTTCCTGTACAGTGAAAATAACACAGCACCTGAGTAGGTAGATACTTCTGCCAGAAATCAGATAAGTTTTATTGAAAAATTAATAATGCGTGTCTTCAGCACAGGGAATTATCAGAGAAGTATTTGAATGATAGATGTTAGGCAAGTCTGGAATCCAGATAGACAAAAAGTATCAGTCAGGATTCTCAGTATAACAAACAGCCACATCTCAGTGGTGTGCAATAAGAAACCTTTATTTCTTGTTCAGCATCTGCTATTCTTTTGGGGTGGATTTGCTTTAAGTTGTGAATATACACTTCAGCCAAGGCAGCTGTGTTTCAGACTGTGGATGCAACCTAGCTTGATTCCTGGTTACAGATGTGGTTCAATTTTCTTCCACGTGTCTTCATTCCAGGTGAAGGAATAACAGATACCCAGAGGAAATGCCTCTCATAGTGATCGTAGAGTACAATAATTCACAGACGTAAACTTTCCTTGCATCACATCTGTTACTATTTCATTGGCCAAAATGAAGTGTACACCTATGCCAACATCAATTAGGCAAAAAGTACACTCCTTCCGTGGCGGAAAGGGGGGTCAGGCATGAATATATTCCGAAAGAAATATAATTTTTATGGTATACCCAATTGTCCACAAATATTTACTTCTCTTCCTCATGAGAAATCACATACCCTCTTTTCAAGGAAGATACAGAAAAGGTCGTATTCAAAAGTCTTATTCAATCATGACGTCAAACTTACAGTCTAGTATCTTGTAATTTACATCAAGATTTTGCTCCTCTTGAGCTATAAACTGATGAAGTAAAAATAAAAGTTATTTGCTCTCCATATACCCAGCATAAAATGATGGAACAGAGGCAGGATAACTACATTACAATCTGTAAAGGAGAGATTATGGCATTCCCCAATCCAAACAAATTCTAAAGTTCTACTGGATAAATATTTATAAGCTTCTCCTCCTGTAGTGTAAGGGAGAGTTTCCTAGATTACACCCCAGTTCCCTTCCTGGGAGGGGTTTTCCAATTTACAGTTTTCCACAGTTCTTGGGTCCACTTTCTGGGGGGAAGTGGGAGCACAGCTTCATTTTTCATCCTCTCTCGGTAATTTCTTTTTTTTTTTTTAATTATACCTTAAGTTCTGGGATACATGTGCAGAACGTGCCAGTTTATTACATAGGTATACATGTGCTATGTTGGTTTGCTGCATCCATCAACTCGTCATCTAGGTTTTAAACCCTGCATGCATTAAGTATTTCTCCTAATGCTCTCCCTCCCCTTGCCTCCCACCCCACAACAGGCCCCGGTGTGTGATGTTGCCCTCCCTGTGTCCATGTATTTTCATTGTTCAACTCCCACTTATGACTGAGAACGTATGGTGTTTGGTTTTCTGTTCCTGTGTTAGTTTGCTGAGAATGACGGTTTCCTGTTTTATTCAAGTCCCTGCAAAGGACATGAACTCAACCTTTTTTATGGCTGCATAGTATTCCATGGTGCATATGTGCCACATTTTCTTTATCCAGTCTATCACTGATGGGCATTTGGATTGGTTTCAAGTGTTTGCTATTGTGAATAGTGCTGCAATAAACATATGTGTGCATGTGTCTTTATAGTAGAATGATTTATAATTCTTTGGGTATATACTCAGTAATAGAATTGCTGGGTCAAATGGTATTCCTGGTCCTAGATCCTTGAGGAATCGCCACGCTGTCTTCCACAATGGTTGAACTAATTTACATTCCCATCAACAGTGTAAAAGCATTGCTATTTCTCCACATCCTCTCCAGCATCTATTGTTTCCTGACTTTTTAATGATCGCCATTCTAAGTGGCATGAGATGGTATCTCATTTTGGTTTTGATTTGAATTACTCTAATGACCAGTGATGATGAGTTTTTTTCATATGTTTATTGGCGGCATATATATCTTATTTTGAGAAGTGTCTGTTCATATCCTTTTCCCACTTTTTGATGGGGTTATTTTTTTCTTTAACTTTGTTTAGGTTCCTTGTAGATTCTGAATATTAGAACTTTGTCAGATGGATGGATTGCAAAAATTTTCTCCCATTCTGTAGGTTGCCTCTTCACTCTGATGATAGTTTCTTTTGCTGTGCAAAAGATATTTAGCTTAATTAGATTCCATTTGTTAATTTTGGCTTTCATTGCAATTGCTTTTGGTGTCTTACTCATGAAGTCTTTGCCTATGTCTATGTCCTGAATGGTATTGCCTAGGTTTTCTTCTAGGGTTTTTATGGTTTTGGGTTTTACATGTAAGTCTTTACTCCATCTTGAGTTAGTTTTTGTATAAGGTGAAAGGAAGGGGTCTAGTTTCAGTTTTCTGCATGTGGTTGGCCAGTTTTCCCAGCACCATTTATTAAGTAAGGAATTCTTTCCCTATTGCTTGTTTTTGTCCGGTTTGTCTAAGATCAGGTGGTTGTAGATGTGTGGTGGTATTTCTGAGGTCTCTGTTCTGTTCCATTGGTCTATATATCAGTTTTGGTACCAGTACCATGCTGTTTTGATTACTGTAGCCTTGTAGTATAGTTTCAAGTCAGACAGCATGATTTCTCCAGCTTTGTTCTTTTTGCTTAGGATTGTATTGGCTATACAGGCTTGTTTCTGTTTCCATATGAAATTTAAAGTAGTATTTTCTAGTTCTGTGAAGAAAGCCAATGGTAGCTTGATGGGAATAGCATTGAATCTATAAATTACTTTGGGCAGTATGGCCATTTTCACAATATTGATTCTTCCTATCCATGAGCATGGGATGCTTTTCCATTTGTTTGTGTCCTCCCTTATTTTCTTGAGCAGTGGTTTGTAATTCTCCTTGAAGAGGTCCTTCATGTTCCTTGTAAGTTGTATTCCTAGATTTTTTTTTTGTATTAATTGGGAATGGGAATTCATTCATGATTTGGCTCTCTGTTTGTCTATTATTTGTGTATAGAAATGCTTGTGATTTTTGAACACTGATTTTATATCCTGAGACTTTGCTGAAGTTGTTTATCAGCTTAAGGAGTTTTTGGGCTGAGATGATGGGTTTTTCTAAATATACAATCATGTCATCTGTAAACAGAGACAATTTGACTTCCTGTCTTTCTACTTGAATATCTTTATTTCTTTCTCTTGCCTGATTGCCTTGGCCAGAACTTCCAATACCATGTAGAATAGGAGTGGTGAGAGAGGGCATCCTTGTCTTGTGCCGGTTTTCAAAGGGAATGCTTCCACCTTTTGCCCATTAAGTATGATATTGGCTATGGGTTTGTCATAAATAGCTCTTATTATTTTGAGATATGTTCCATCAACACCTAGTTTATTGAGTATTTTTAGCAGGAAGGGGTATTGAATTTTATCAAAAGCCTTTTCTGCATCTATTGAGATAATCATGTCATTTTGTCATTGGTTCTGTCTATGTGATGGATTACGTTTATTGATTTACATATGTTGAAGCAGCCTTGCATCCCATGGATGAAGCAGACTTGATCATGGTGGATAAGCTTTTTGATGTGCTGCTGGATTCAGTTTGCCAGTATTTTCTTGAGGATTTTTACATCGATGTTCATCAGGGTTATTGGCCTGAAATTTCTTTTTTTTTTTTGTTGTGTCTCTGCCAGGTTTCAGTATCAGGATGATGCTGGCCTCATAAAATGAGTTAGGGAAGAGTCCCACCTTTTCTATTGTTTGGAATAGTGTCAGAAGGAATAGTACCAGCTCCTCTTTGTACCTCTGGTAGAAGTCAGCTGTGAATCTGTCTGGTCTTGGGCTGTTTTTGGTTGGTAGGCTATTAATTACTGCCTCAATTTCAGAACTTGTTATTGGTCTATTCAGGGATTCAACTTCTTCCTGGTTTAGTCTTGGGGCAGTGTGTGTGTCCAGGAATTTATCCATTTTTTTTAGATTTTCTAGTTTATCTGTGTGGAGGTGTTTATAGTATTCTCTGATGGTAGTTTGTATTTCTGTGGGATCACTGGTGATATCCCCTTTATCATTTTTTATTTTGTATATTTGATTCTTCTCTCTTTTTTTCTTTATTAATCTGGCCAGTGTTCTATCTCTTTTGTTAATCTTTCCAGAAAAACCAGCTCCTGGATTAATTGATTTTTTTGAAGGTGGTTTTGTGTCTCTAGCTTCTTCAGTTCTGATTTGATCTCAGTTATTTCTTGTCTTCTGGTAGCTTTTGAATTTGTTTGCTCTTGCTTCTCTAATTATTTTACCTGTGATGTTAGGGTGTCACTTTTAAATCTTTCTTGCTTTCTGAAGTGGGCATTTAGTGCTATAAATTTCCCTCTTCCTACTGCCTTAACTGTGTCCCAGAGATTCTGGTACATTGTGCCTTGTTCTCATTGGTTCTAAAGAACTTATTTATTTCTGCCTTAATTTTGTTATTTACTCAATAGTCATTCAGGAGCAGGTTGTTCAGTTTCCATGTAGTTGTGCAGTTTTGAGTGAATTTCTTAATCCTGGGTTCTAATTTGATTGCACTGTGGTCTCAGAGACTGTTTGTTATGATTTCCATTCTTTTGCATATGCTGAGGAGTGTTTTACTTCCAATCGTGTGGTCAATTTTAGAAAAAGTGCTATGTGTTGCTGAGAATAATGTATATTCTGTTGATTCAGGATGAAGAATTCTGTAGATGTCTATTAGGTCTGCTTGGTCCAGAGCTGAGTTCAAGTCCTGACTATCCTTGTTAATTTTCTCTCTTGTTGATCTGTTTAATATTGACAGTGGGGTGTTAAAGTCTCCCACTATTATTGTGTGGGAGTCTATATCTTTTTGTAGGTCTCTAAGAACTTGCTTTATGAATCTGGGTGCTCCTGTATTGGGTGCACATATATTTAGGATAATTAGTGCTTCTTGTTGAATTGATCCCTTTACTATTATGTGATGCCTTTATTTGCCTTTTTGATATTTGTTGGTTTAAAGTCTGTTTTATCAGAGACTAGGATTGCAACCCCTGCTTTTTTTTTAAATTTTCATTTTCTTGGTAAGTATTCCTCCATCTCTTTATTTTGAGCCTATGTGTGTCTTTGCATGTGAGATGGGTCTCCTAAATGTAGCACACTGATGGGTCTTGATTCTTTATCCAATTTGCCATCTGTGTCTTTTAATTGGGGCATTTAGCTCATTTACTTTTCAAGTTAATATTGTTATTTGTGAATTTGATCCTGTCATTATGATGCTAGCTGTTTATTTTGCACATGAGTTGATGCAGTTTCTTCACAGTGTCATTGGTCTTTATATTTTGGTATGTTTTTGCAGTGGCTGGTACCGATTTTTCCTTGCCGTATTTAGTGCTTCCTTCAGGAGGTCTTGTAAGGCAGGCCTGGTGGTGAGAAAATCCCTCAGCATTTGCTTGTCTGTAAAGGATTTTATTTCTCCTTCACTTATGAAGCTTAGTTTGGCTGGATATGAAATTCTGGGTTGAAAATTCTTTTCTTTAAGAATGTTGAATATTGGTCCCCACTGTCTTCTGGCTTGTAGGATTTCTGCAGAGAGATCTGCTGTTAGTCTGATGGGCTTCCCTTTGTTGATAACCTGACCTTTCTCTTTGGCTGACCTTAACATTTTTTCCTTCGTTTCAAACTTGGAGAATCTAACGATTATGTCTTCAGGTTGCTCTTCTCAAGGAAAATCTTAGTGCTGTTCTCTGTATTTCCTGAATTTGAATGTGGGCCTGTCTTGCTAGGTTGGGGAAGTTCTCCTGGATAATATCCTGAAGTGTGTTTTCCACCTTGGTTCCATTCTCCCCATCACTTTCAGGTACACCAATCAATTTTAGCTTTGGTCTTTTTACATAGTCCCATATTTCTTGGAGGCTTTGTTCGTTTGTTTTCATTCTTTTTTCTCTAATCTTATTTTCATGCTTTATTTCTTTAAGTTGACATTCAATCTCTTATATCCTTTCTTCTGCTTAGTCGATTCAGCTATTGATACTTGTGTGTGCTTCATAAAGTTTTTTTGCTGGGTTTTTCAGCTCCATCGGGTCATTTATGTTCTTCTCTAAACTGGTTATTCTAGTTAGCAGTTCCTGTGGCCTTTTTCCAAGGTTCTTAGCTTTCTTGCATTGGGTTAGAATATGCTCCTTTAGCTCAGAGGTGTTTGTTATTAACTACCTTCTGAAGCCTACTTCCGTCAATTCATCAAACTAATTCTCCATCCAGTTTTGTGCCCTAATTGGAGACGAGTTGCAATCATTTGGAGGAGAAGAGGCATTCTGTTTTTTGGAATTTTCCACATTTTTGTGCTAGTTTTTCCTCATCTTAGTGGATTTATCTACATTTGATCTTACATGCTGGTGGCCTTTGGATGAGGCTTTTGAGTGGGGGTCTTTTTTGTTGATGTTTATGTTGCTTTCTCTTTGTTAGTTTTCTTTCTCACAGTCTGGCCCCTCTTCTGCCGGTCTGCTGGAGTTTGCTGGATGTTCACTCCAGACGCTGTTTGCCTGGGTATCACTAGCAGAGGCTGCAGTACAGCAAAGATTGCTGCCTGCTCCTTCCTCTGGAAGCTTCATCCCAGTGGGTTACCTGCCTGATGCCAGCTGGAGCTGTCCTGTGTGAGGTGTCTGTTGGAGGTGTCTCCCAGTCAGGAGGCATGGGGATCAGGGATCCACTTGAGGAGGTAGTCTGTCCCTTAGCCAAGCTCAAGTGCTGTGCTAGGGGATCTGCTGCTTGCTTCAGAGTTGTCAGGCAGAAATGCTTAAATCTGCTGAAGCTGTGCCCACCACCTCCCCTTCCCCTAGTTGCTCTGTTCCAGGGAGATGGGAGTTTTCTCTATATGCCCTGGACTGGGGAGGCTGCCTTTCTTTCAGAGATGCCCTGCCCAGTGAGGAGGAATCTAGAAAGGCAGTCTGGTCCCAGACTCTTTGCCACCCTGCAGTAAGTTCCGCACAGTCAGAGTTAACACTGTGAGTGGAAACTCGCCTACTCAAGCCTCCATAATGGCGGGCGCCCCTCCCCCAACCAAGCTCTATTGTCCCAGGCGGACCAGACTGCCATGCTGGCGGTGAGAATTTCAAACCACTGGTTCTTAGCTTGCTGGGCTCTGTGGGAGTGAGACCCATGGAGCAAGATCACTTGGCTCCCTGGCTTCAGCCCCCTTTCCAGGGGAGTGAGTGGTTCTGTCTCACTGGGCTTCCAGGCACCAATGGGGTCTGAAAAAAAACTGCAGCTGGCTCAGTGTCTGCCTGAACAGCTGCCCAGTTTTGTGCTTGAAACGCAGGGTCCTGGTGTGTAGGCATACAAGGGAATCTCCTGGTCTGTGGCTTGCAAAAAACATGGGAAAAGCAAAGTATCTGGGCCAGATAGCACAGCCCCTCATGGCTTCCCTTGCCTAGGGGAGGGATTTCCCTGGCCCTTTGCACTTCCTGGGTGAGGTGATGTCCCACCCTGCTTCTGCCCCGTCTCTGTGGGATCCACCCACTTTCTATCCAGTCCCAGTGAGATGAACTGAATACCTCAGTTGGAAATGCAGAAATCACCCGCCTTCTGCATTGGTCTTTCTGGCAGCTGCGGACTGAATCTGTTCCTATTTGGCCATCTTACAAGCTCTCCAGAACCTTTGAATCTGGTCATTTCTTAATAAAGTTTTAGAATATGTCATTCATTGGTGAATGGACAGCTTTCAGTCTCTTTCTGCCTCTAAATATTTTAGGACCAGTCTTTTTTTAATCCATCCTGCCATCTCAGTTTCTTTTAATCTAGGCAGCTTGTACTTTTGCCAATAGAGCTCTCTCAAAAATGATTTATGTGTTCTATGCATTCATTTCTAATTAAATTTATTTGCCTGAAACTATACCCACAATTTCTTTCTGGATTTGTATTTCTCTTTAGATTTACTTACTAGTAATTTGAGGGCATTTGATTTTGTCAAACCCCACATCAACTTTGTAGAAGCTCCTTGGTCTAGCTGAAGGGACTACTAGAGTCAGGTTAATTCTTTCAGAGGTCTAAAAGGAATGTTACAGACACATTTTGATTTCATCTTTGACTTAGAAACAGTTCAGTTTTTCAACTCTATAAACTCTAGGCTGTCTCTATTTCCTCTGAACTCTACTTGACAACAGGTCAGTTCCTTTTGGAGTGTTCTCTTGTAGTGTCTTAGCTAATATACTTACTGGCAACTTTTCACACTTTGAAAATACTGCCTCAAAACTTTCTAGCTTAATGCAGCCAATTCAGTACATAGATATTTTCTTTTCTATATTACTGCTAGAGTCAATTTTACCAAATGTTTTGCCACTACATTATACAGATTATTGTTCTCAAACTCATTTAACAATTTTCTTACCATCTTGCCAGTTCTCAGAATTACTGCCACATATTTTAGGTTTTAATTATGGCAACACCAGACTTCTAGGACCAATTCTCTGTTAATCAGTTTTTGTTGCATAACAAACGACTGCAAAAATCTCTGTGACGCACAAAATAAGCACTTACTGCTTATTCATACATCTGTGATTCAGCTGGTGTATCTCTGTTTCAGACTCTGGAGATGGCTGCTTTGGCTTTGAAGTCTGTGCTTGGGCTTATGTCTGCTCCAGTGTGCTCATTCTGGAGCTGGGACTGAAGAGGCTGAGGCAATCTGGGGGAAACTCTTTGCAAGGCAGAATACCAGAACCCAAGAATGCCTGCCCAAAGGCATATGCATGTTTTAAACTTCGTCATGTTCACTGACATCCCATTACACCAAAAAGTCACAAGGCCAATTCCAACCTCAAGTGGACGGGGAGAATTTTTTTTCCCTTTGGAGACCAAGGTATGGAGGGAGGGAGTGAATATTTGCTAAGCAATAATGTAATCTACTATGCAAAGGAAATTATAAGAAGAACACAGTATTTTAAATCTTGTCATGAAGGTGAATAAATGTGGGCTTCTTGTTCTCTCTGTGTATATAGAAGTCCGTAGGAGATCTATGATCTGTGAATTTTCAACCTAAAAATATACTGTTTAACAATCTTAGAAAAACAGAAGGTAGTTGGATTCTGGTGTTTAAATGGGAGGAGAGGAAGGACTAACTGGCAGCTCAGAATAAAAGGGAGCTGAATACCAGAAAAGGAAGGTTGGGAAGGGACAGAATTTAAGTTTGCTTTCCCCTCCCCTCAACTCTTTCCTATTTGCCTTTATGTGAAGAGGAAAATACACAGCATTAATTATCACAGTAGTCCAGAGGGCTAATGCCAAGATGGTGTAAACACAAAATTAACTATATCCCGTAGGAGGGGCAACCACTAAATAATACTATGCAGTGGTCAAAGCCATAAAATAAAGGGGTGTGTGGGTGTGTGTGTGTATTTTTCAAAGACATATTTAAATGCAGGAATATATTCCAAGCATATTATAGGAAATTGAGAAGATTGAGACTGGGGATTACATAGAAAAGAAATAGATAAAAGAAGACCCTGGCAGAAATGGATCCTAGGAGAAGTATGTTTAATTCGATCTCTGTTCTTGAGGTTTCTTGACTGTTTGAAAATATGGAGGTTAGAAACAAGTAGAAGTATAAGAGTCATGGTAGGTATAGAGTGGAGACTCAACAGAGGTTAGTATTCCAGAAACAATACATCAATAGAGTTAGAGGTAGCAAAGGTGAAAACAGGCAAACAGTTTAATCCAGTGAGAGAAATTGGAGGAAGGCATTGGCAATACAGACATTCTAATGCCAATGCTCTGCATTGACAAAGACTGCCTTAGCCTAAGGCTCTTCATTTGTTTCTTCTTTGTTAGGAAGTGGTCCACCATTAGGTATTATCTAAAAAGTGCTGTGCTGGTTGAAATGAGAACAGGACTTAGGAAACAATGTTAAACCATTTTAACTGTTAATATTGTTTATGACAAAGATATTATATAGATGAAAGCAAAATATTGTTATCATGGCACATCTACTGGCATATAGAACTTTCTTGGAAACTTTTTAAATATTGTTTGTTGAAGTGGAATTTTATCTGTGTTTTTACTTAATGAGAAGGATTAACTACAGTGGTTATGTGGTTGTAGTCACTCTTTGGGGAGGTTGTTTGGGACCTACATGATTTTCCTTAAAGGAGAAGCTCTGCTGAATAGAAGATGAAATAGAATAAGAGAGTGAGGGTAGGGAAATCAATGTTCTTATAAAGTGAATAGCTGATTCTGACAAGATTTCCAAGAGAAATATGACTATGGCTAAAATGCAATCATATCAGAATTGATTTGCTGTGCCTGACCTCATTGTATAACAATCTACCATAAACTGAATGGGAATTACTTAAAGGGGAGGTGGGTCCACTATAAAGCAAACTGTCAGTCCTGACAAATATACAATTTCCCCTTTCTGGCCTCCTGCTTCCTCTTGCCCTTAAGCCGGCAGCATTGCATATTTGTTTAATGGTGAACTGGAACATTTTTCTTCATGAATAACTGAATTACTTCCCACATTGGTAGGAGAGTGGTTATGTTTTTTAAAGTAGATCTCAATTTTCTTAATCTCATGTAATTTGTTTTTTAACCCAGAAGGTGATAGGAATTGATATCAAAGCTACTATTAAATAATAAAATGGTGGAAGGGGAAACAGCGTTTTTCCTATCCTTAAGTAAACAAAGAATAGAAGACCAGAAAGAAGAAAAATTTATTTTTGTTGTGAGTCTTTTCCTTAAAATCTGCACTATATATTTTATCAAAATTAATTTGTTGGCCTTATTAAATTTTTATTTAAAAATCTAAATGCAAGTAGCAGTGGTTTATAATACTAGCCAAAGATTTTCCTTTTATTTGCCATAAAAATAATAATCTATAACTGTCTTAATCATGTATAAATATTATTACTTCTTTCTCTCCTAAAGATTTGAAATTTTTGACTTACACTGAAAGTAGAAATTAAAAAACCCCTTTGCTTTAATAAAATGAACAGATGACAGAACAGAGAGATAACTGATGCAAAGTTACTTGTCCTCAGCAAAGTGACATGGCAAGTTTTCAGAGGCTCCTCTGTCACAGTCCCTTGTGTATGCAATAATTTGCAAGCAGAGCTTTGTGGTTTTCTTTCCCCTTTCTTACCACTCCCCCCTTGTTTATTTATTTCAATTCTGAGTCTACCTGAGAAATTTCAAGCAGTATAATGCATGCACCCAAGATTTATAATGTCATGTGTTGAGTTGGCAGAGCCCAAAAATTGTTTTCCTGAGATATTATGATTTCTCTCTCTCCCAGTTGACTTTTTCTCCTGCACCTGTGCTGATTGGCTAACATTCTCAAAACAAAAATTGCTGGTCATCCCTCATGTATAATTCACACAATCAAAACTTTACAACTGTGCACAATTTTGAGTCCCATGTCCTATGTGCCCAAATAGGCTCTTTCTAAGCTGTCAAGACTTTCAGCAAAGTGGTTTGCTCTATGAGCATAAACTGAAGCACTAATGAAGTTGTTCAAATGGTTCTACAGAGAGCAGTTTAATCAGGCACTGCTTCTAATTAGGATTGGCTAATAGGTGGCCCCAGACATTGAGAGGCTTAACAACAATTAAAAAAATAAAAAATACCCAGCTCTTCTTGCATTAAACCAAATCCTCCTATGGCTTACTGGGAAATAAATGTGCATGAAGAGATTTTAATCAGTGACTTTCATTCCTGAGAACTAAAAGCAATGTTTTAGAAAAATGTAGATATTGTTATTTAACAGTGTTTCTAAACCCAGCTTTAAATTTAATAATTATGTAATTAGATCTGAACCCAAAAATGGATGCTTCTGAAGCACTGGGGCTTGCAGAGTATGTTATCTCAAATATGCGTATACCTCTGCATAGTTTAATGAAATTAGCCAATGGTAAAGAAAAAAAAATTCATCATCCTTTCTTAGATGTATGATTTTATGATTTGGTGTTATATCCATAATCATGAGCTAGTCATAGAAGAGGAAAAATGGAAATGAATTATGAAATGTTACATGTTTTCCGTGCAGTAAATATAATTAACTTACAAATTTGATATTTTCCATCATGGGAATTACCCTGTCTATTTAGGCAGCTCTCCTTTTCCTCTGAAATATAACACCTTTATGTCTTCTTTGTTATCGTTCACTGTTAAAGGACTATACATAAGCTAATTTTGTCCTCAGTATTGGAATTGGGTAATTAATGCATTCAAAGTAGAGCTATAATTCAAGGTATAGTTCATCATGCTATTCAGTGTTTAAACATCTACATTTTAAAATTAGGAGGAACTTATAAAAGTTTATATGTATTGCAAAGTTACACTCAGAAGTAGATTAAGACTCTTATTTTGTCAACAAGCATGTACTAAAAATCTACTATGTGTAAGACACTATGACATATACTAAGAGGTAAAAAAAAAAGACCCACAAATACCTTATAATCTAATAAAGGACAGAAAACTATAGTATATGACAAGGTAAGGGAAGGCCCTATAAAATGTAAAAATCTTGTTACAATTCTCAACGACAAGGTAAAGTATATCAGTTTTGGCATCAAGGCCCAGATTGTTTCATCTCTCTCTTCATCTTCACTCTCTTGACTATATTTTTGAGAGTCTGACTCTTCCTTTGGTTCCAATATGATTATCGTAGTTTCATGTTTAGTGTCACAGAACATCAATATCTAGGAATGGAAATGCATTTTACAGTGAGTGAATAAAATGTTTTTTGAATCCACACATTTCTCTTTTTCCAGAATTGAGGTATATACCCATTGTTTCTAGAAGAAGCAGAATAGAATTAGCACAATGAGTATAGGTTAATCAAGGTCTACTGCCAGATTTGAGTATGGGATCACCTTTGGCTACATTTTGGGAAAAGGATTTCTTTATAACACCAGGTTTCTGAGCTCAAGGAAAAAAAGAAACAGAGATGTTAGGTGAGCAACCAGCCTTGTCTGCTAAGTAGAATAAGTAGAGTAAAAGGAATATGTCAAGGCCTACAAAATTGCATGAAATTTTACATAAACTTGGATATTGGGGTAGGAAGCACTAAATCGATCAAGAATTGAAGCCAGGTTGAAGCCTGGTCAAAGGTTGTGTCCTGTATAGAGCAACTCGACTCTATCAAAACACCTGGTGGGAAAAAGGCAGAGAGCTTCAATATGAAGGTTATTAGGGTAATAGGAAAGATTTTTCAGCTAAGTAAAAGAAATCTCGTCCTTTTTACTGAAAAGTACTACTAAGGAAGAGAATAGAGACTATAGAGAGAAAAGTAATCGTTGGGAAAGAAATCTGAAGCAGTGCTTTTTAATATTTAATGTGAATATAAATCACCTGGTAATCATAAGAGCATGGTGAAACTTTGTCAACATGTATATAAATATAAACTGTATAGTGTTGTGTGTTGAGACTAGGTTTTTAGGTTTGTTTTTTATTTTTTTTTGTGGGGGGGGATGAGAAAAGAGATCATATGAAAATTAGGTGCCTGTTAAAAAAAGAGTGAGGAGAAAACATTTGCAAGGACAGAAGCCCTTGATAACTAACTTTAATTATTCACAATGGCTAGAAAGAATTTGTTATAGTAAATGTGGGAGAATTGCTGGTGATTTTAAAACCCTTGGGTTTACAGTTAATATGTTTCACACATAAGAATCTAGCTTAGAAATAACCAAAATTCGGCCTTGTGTGGTGGCTCATACCTGTAAATCTCAACAATTTGGAAGACCGAGGGAGGACGAGAAAGACCAGGTTGGAGTTCAAGACAAGCTTGGGCAACATAGCAAGATCTCATCTGTATAAAATTTTTAAAAAAGAAATTAGCTGGTTGTGGTGGTGCATGCCTGCAGTCCCAGCTACTCTGGAGGCTGAGATAGGATGAGAATCACTTGTGCCCAGGAGTTTGAGGCTGCAGGGAGCAATGATTGTGCCACTCCACCACAGCCTAGGCAACAGAGTGTGACCATGTTTCAAAAACAAAAATCAAAATTCAATTTTAATTTTTTTCAGTTTTACCAGAAGTAAAACAAAGAAAAAATATAGAGAAATAATTTAATTTACCACATATACTCTGAGATTCTACAAAAATGACACATTGTAAGCCCCAGGTTACAGCCAAGTTTAGCTACTTTAATTTGCCATATATTAAGAAATCAAGTTACTAAAGACACAAATTTGAAAACTGCAAAGTCCTTTGTATGGAATATTTTAAATTATAGTGAAAAACTCATTCTGCATAAGCTTAGATAAGTAAAAAAATCTTTTGTTTTTTATCTGCTGTAAAAATTATAGTTTTGAAGAGGTTTACATTTCATCCAAGCTAGTGATAAATTCTGTGAGAATCTGTGTGTGTATATACAAAACATATGAGGGTGAGCCAGGTTTATTAAGTGTTTAGAAATCACACTTTAAAAGTAACGGTTTGAGGAGAGAGCACAAAAAGGATATTTCATATATATATATCTCATGTGTGTGTGTGTGCCTCTGTGTGTGTGTGTGGGGTGGGGGGTATATGTATATTTTAAAGAGGAGCTTTAATGTGGAAGTAGAAGTAGACTCAGAGTTTCCTAGAGAAGAATTGAGGCCAGTTGATGAAATGTATGAGAACACAACTTTGGCTTAATAAAATAAAAAGTATTTTAACAGTTCAAAATATTCAACAATTGATTAGATTGCTTTTGGTTGAAAGCAAGGCTTGAAATCTTGAACTCTTTAAACAAAGGATTGGCCATTTGCCCAGGACATATGCAGGAGATAATTACACTTATTGATGTCCACGATTAAACAGATTCTAACATTCCACTTAATTTAATAATATTAGATTATATGTATACATGTGGTCTTCAAGATTTTCCTCTTAATAGGAAATAGTTTTTACTTTTCTTCATCAGAGATAAACACATTAAATTCAACAAATGGAAAATATAAATCAGATTTCATGAGTATGGGCAGGTAACAGCAGAATTTTTAAAATGTCATTAAAATGGTTCTATGCCAATTAGTCTTCAGAAATATACTTTCTGGGCCTAAATCTGGATACCTGGGATTCACGCTATTAAAATAAGCCAATTATACCATACTCCTTTGCCAATTTTCCCACCTGTTCTCTCTGTGTTGATTGAAAAACCATATTTCCCTCAAATGCCTTATTGGAAATATTTTTATCCTGTTTACTTTGAAACTAGCTCCAGATTATATAAAGGAAATCAAGGCTTGGCCATATATATTTTACGAATCACTCAAGTGTTAATAAATAGCTGTGAAATGAAGCTGATGCCACAGAAGAAGGAATGTTAGCTTATAAAATTGATTAATTAATTTCATATCCCAAATAGCTTTACATTTATTCCAGTTAGTTTATGCATTTTTAAGAAATTACAATATTATTTATTATTTTGATGTTTTCTTTTCATTTTCAAGTATTTTATTTAACAATGTTCTATTATCTTCTGGCAAAGATTAGTATGAGAGCAAGTTCTTTATATGAAATGTTTATAATAGTTAATACATACAATAACTATAAATTGTATAATAGTAGAGGGAGTGGTGTGAGAGGCCATTTATTTTCTCATGAATGGGGATCATATGTTTATTACCATGATTAGTTTTAGACCCAAATAAAGGTAAAACTACATGTCAGGCATCCTACATTTTTATTAATATTGAATTGTTATCTTCTACTTTAATAAATTCAATTCATTTAGTACATATATATTTTAAAGAACAGTTTTGGCATACTTGTGCCAGAAACTGGGGTACCAGTGTGGATAAGACGCTTCCTGTCCTCAATAGCTTAGGGTTTGGTGGGGGTGAAAGTCATAGATTTAGGTGTTTAAGTCATTATCTGTTAAAGGAAATGATGGAGGGGACTCCAAATGAGCAACATTTGGAGTAGATCATGGCTAAGCTGAGTTCCTGAACGTGCATAAGAAGCCTAATTATTATTTAAGAGTTATTACTGTTATTCTATCATGGCATTGGTATTGGTGAAAATGTCTTCATTTTAAAAATTACTACATTTATGAAATCATGTACATAACATAGCACATTAGGAGAAAAAAGTTGCAAATGAGTGTAAAAGGTTTTTTAACTCAAAAAGTAAATGTAACTTAATTGAATAAATTTTAATTTTTTCCTATAACTTTTTATTTTCCCTAATTATAAAACTAATTCCAAATGTTACATAAAATTTAAAAAAATACAAAATACAAAGTAAATTGAAGCACCCCCAAATAATTTAGTTTCACACAGAGTTTTGGAAACTATTTTCTTATTTTTCAATTTTTTACTCACAATCCTCTCTTTACTAAAAGATTATTATCACCATCATCATCACAAACAGTTATTGTGTGGTTACTGTGTGTCAAGTTATGTTATAAACCCTTCTGTCAGTATTCACTCATGCAATTGACAACTACCTTATTGGTACTAAGTACTAATATTATTCCAATTTTAAAGAAAAATGAATCACTGGATAGTAAGTTACTTGCCCAATATAGTTTCAAGAATAAAGATAAAATGTATTCTGCATTATTCTTCTTCAGCACTAAAACCAATAATAGGGAGTTTCAAATATGAGAAACTATGTCGAGAATCTGTGATAGAAGCAATCAAGATCAGATGGAAGAGAGAACTAGCCTACTGAGACACATGAGGTTGCTTAGAGAAGAGTTATCTTTTAGTTTGTTTTTCACAGAAGCAGTGCCATGGAAGTTCAGTATGATAACAGCAACTTGCAAGAATGTAGCTGATTGAGGCAATTAAGCAGGATCTGCCAGGCAGATCATCTGTACATCACTCCAGTTCCTTTGGTCAGAAACTGTGAAAGGATGGTTCTGGTTAAAGCAGTAGATTTCCCTGATACAACAAGGTAAGGGGATACTCTAGGTGGCCTGCAGTGGCAAAGAAAGTGAGTAGTGCTAGAAGATCAGCTGCCAGTGTACTAGATATGCATTAGTCTCAATAAAGAAAGAATCAACCTTTGCAGCTGATTTCTTCCTTACAACAAGCCAGGTGTGCAGCAGAGTGAGCTACCAGTATGGTAGGTAATATATTACATGGTTAAGATCAGAGTGAACTGGACATAAATTTGCATCATGCCGGCATCATGAAAGAGAGAAAAACTACAGAACTTACATCTGAGGAAACAGACATATATAACAACTAGAAGCAAGCTTTAAATAAGCAAAGTTTTATATCCTCAGAAAAATAAGTGAGATTATTTTATTGTTGAAGAAACAACCTGTAGAAGTTTTGGAAATATAAACTTTAATTGTGTTAATATTCAATAGAGAAGCTAAATAGCAGAATAGAGACAGCAAAAGAGTTCATTAGTAACCTTTGAAGATTGGCCTGGGGAATCAATCTAGAATGTAAGAGAAAAGAATGAAGAGGTCAAAAGTGTAAACATAATGAATAGTAAGAAAAGAATGATCAAAACTTACATAAATGTGTTTATTGAGACTCCAGAAGAGAAGACAGAATACTGTTGAAATACTATCTGAAAGAGAACTAATAGCTAAGAATTGAATTTGGTTGCATATAAGTAAATGGAAGAAAGTGGGCTGGAAAAAATTATAGTCTAGAGCTGGCACAGCAGTGCCATGAAGTCTCAGATCCAGTTGTTTAATTTTTATTTTCCCCCTCTCTCACCCATAGATGTTCTGCGCTTATCCTGTGGACAATTATTTCAGGGAAAGTGAAAAAATGTGAGGAGTATACTAGGGATCTTTCTATCAGAGTCTGCTTCTTTCTCATGAACTTTCTTTGGTGCCTTGTTTGACTTTTGCTTACTTCTTGCATACATACAGTTTTGCTCATAGCCTTGCAGGTGGTGAGCTGAAAAGGATCACCTTATCTAAAGTAGTGCAATTCACATTATAAATGTGTACTAATTTTAATGGAACACAAACTAGATAGGTTTTAGAATTCTCTTTAGCAACAGTAGATACAAGATGATGAAGCCATGTCTTTCAAGTACTAAGGGGCAATAATTTTAAATCTAGAATTCTTTCTTTGGTGAGATAGCGTCTTACTCTGTTACGCAGGCTAAAGTGCAGTGGTGCATTCATAGCTCACTGTAGTCTTGACCTGCCAGGCTCAAGCAATCTTCCCACCTCAGCCTCTCAAGTAGCTGGGACTACAGGAGTGTGCCACCATGCTGGCTAATTTAAACTTTTTTTTAAAAGAGATAAGGTCTCTCTATGTTGTCCTGGCTGGTCTCAATCTCCTGGGCTCAAGTCATTCTCTCCCCTCAGCCTCCCAGTGGGCTGGAATTAAAGGTGTCAGCCACCATGCCCAGCCTACATCTGGAATTCTTTATCCAGAAAAACCATTATCCGATTCAGAGGATTAAAATACACTGTATGGCCAATTGACACTCAAAGGGTTAACTACCTTCAGACTTTCTTTGAAAAAAAACAAAAAACAAAGAGATGATACAATCCATTATAAAGAAAAAGTGAATCATGGAGAAAGTAGCAATATATCACAAAGATAGTATATTAGTCCATTTGCATTGCTATAAAGGAATATCTGAGACAGGTAATTTGAAAGAAAAGAGGTTTATTCGGCTCATCGTTCTGCAGACTGTACAAAAAGCATAGCACCAACATCTGCTTCTGATGAGGGCCTGAGGAAGCTTCCAGTAGTGGTGGAAGGGGAAAGGACAGTAGGTATATCACATAGCAAGAGAGAGAGGAGGAGGTCTCAGACTCTTTTAAACAACTAGATCTCATGTGAACCAACTAGTCAAGAATGCACTCATTACCATGGGAAGGACATCAAGCCATTCATGAGGGATCTGCCCCCATGATCCAATACCTCCCACTAGGCTCCATCTCCAACAGTAGGAATCATGTTTTGATGTGAGACTTGGACATACAGACAATATCAAATGATGAGCATTTAAATTAGCAAAAATTAGTATTGTCTGAAAATAAAATATTGGAACTGAAATTCTAAATAGTATTTATGAGGAAGATGGCAAGAGTGGTTGGAATAGTTAAACTATGCTGAGGTTAAAGTCTTATTTGTGAAGGGGCTAATAGACATGATTATTTCCAGACATAGCTTGAAAAATACATTTAATATGCAAACTATTACAAGAAAAGCAATGCAAAAAAAAACCCAGAATAAATAAATTTCTTTTTTTTTTTTTTGAGATGGGATCTAACTCTGTCACCTAGGCCAGAGTGCAGTGGTGTGATCTCAGCTCACTGCAGCCTCTGCCTCCCAGGCTCAAGTGATCCTCCTGCCTCAGCCTCCCAAGTAGCTGGGACCACAGACACACACCACTACACCTGGCTAATTTTTCGTATTTTTGGTAGAGATGGGGTTTTGCCATGTTACCCAGGCTGGTCTCGAACTCCTGAGCTTAAGCAATCTGCCTGCTTCAGCCTCCCAAAATACTAGCATTACACATGTGAGCCACCGTGCCCAGCCAGAATAAATAAATTACAAACAAGAATGAAATAATGTAGGAAAAAAGGGCATGATAAATATAATAAAAAGAAATATAAAAAAAGAAATAAAGCTAACTATAGTAAATACAATTTACAAATTAACATGATGTATTAGTCTGTTCTCACATTGCTGTGAAGAAATACTTAAGACTGGGTGATTTACAAAGAAAAGAGGTTTAACTGACTCACAGATCCACATTGCTGGGGAGGCCTCAGAAAACTTACAATCATGGTGGAATGCAAAGGAGAAGCAGACGCCTTTTCACAAGGTGTTAGGATGGCATGAGTGCAACCAGGGGAAATGCCAGAGGCTTATAAAACCATTGGATCTTGTGAGACTCTCTCACTATCATGAGAACAACATAGGGAAAACCACTCCCATGATCCAATTACCTCTACCTGTCCCACCTTTGACACATGAGGATTATGAGAATTATAATTCAAGATGAGATTTTGGGTGGGGGCACAGCAAAACCATATCATTCTGCCACTGACCCCTCCCAAATCTCATGGTCTCACATGTCAAAACACAATCATGCCCTTCCAACAGTCCACCAAAATCTTAACTTATTCCAGCATTAACCCAACAGTCCAGGTCCAGTCTCATCTGAGACAAGGCAAGTCCCTTCTGCCTATGGCCTATAAAGTCAAAAGCAAATTAATTACTTCCTGGATACAATGGAGGTACAGGCATTGGGTAAATACACTCATTTCAAATAGGAGAAATTGGCCAAAACAAAGAGACTATAGGCCCCGTGCAAGTCCAAAATCCAATAGGGCGGTCATTAAATCTTAAAGTTCCAAAATAATCTCCTTTGACTCCATGTCTCACATTCAAGGCACACTGATGCAAGAGGGGGGCTCCCATGGCCGTGGGTACCTCCACCTCTCTGGCTTTGCATGATACAGCCGCACTACCAGCTGCATTCACAGGCAGGCATTGAGTGCCTGTGGCTTTTCCAGGCGCACGGTGCAAGTGTTGGTGGATCTACCTGGGGTCTGGAGGACAGTGGCCCTCTTCTCACAGCTCCACTAGGCAATGCCCCAGTGAAGACTGTGTGTGGGGGCTCACAACACACATTTTCCTTTTGCACTGCCCTAACAGATGCTCTCCTTGAGGGATCCACCCCTGCAGCAGACTTCTGCCTGAACAATCCAGGCATTTCCATTCATCCTCTGAAATCCAGGCAGAGGTTCCCAAATCTCAATTCTTGCCTTCTGTGCACCTACATGCCCAACACCACATGTAAGCTGCCAAGGCTTGGAGCTTGCACCCTCTGAAGCAGTGGTCCCAGCTGTACGTTGGGCCTCTTTTAGCCATAGCTGGAACTGAAGCAGCTGGGATGTAGGGCACCATGCCCTGAGGCTGCACAGAGCAAGGGGACCATTGGCCCAATCCACGAAATGATTTTTCCCTCCTAGGTCTCTGGGCCTGTGATGGGAGGGGCTGTAATGAAGGTCTCTGACATGCCCTGGAGATATTTTCCCCATTGTCTTGGTGATTAACATTTGGCTCCTTGTTATTTATGCAAATTTCTGCAGCTGGCTTGAATTTCTTTCCAGGAAATGGGTTTTCCTTTTCTGTCACATCATCAGGCTGCAAATTTTCCAAACCTTTATACTTTGCTTTTTCTTGAATGCTTTGCTGCTTAGAAATTTCTGCCAGATACCCTAAATCATCTCTCTCAAGTTCAAAGTTCCACAGATCTCTAGGGCAGGGGCAAAATGCCACCAGTCTCTTTGCTAAAACATAGCAAGGGTCACCTTTACTTTAGTTCCCAACAAGTTCCTTATCTCCATCTGAGACCACCTCAGCCTGGACTTCATTGTCCATATCACTATCAGCGTTATGGTCAAAGCCATATAACAAGTCTCTGGGAAGTTCCAAACTTTCCCATATTTTTCTGTCTTCTTTTGAGCCCTCCAAACTGTTCCAGCCTCTTCAAGTTACCCAGTTCCAAAGCTGTTTCCATATTTTCGGGTATCCTTATAGCAGTGCCCCACTGCCTTGGTACCAACTTACTGTATTAGTCCATTCTCACACTATGAAGAAATACCTGAGACTGGGTAATTTATAAAGAAAAGGGGTTTAATTGACTCACTGTTCCGCATTGCTGAGGAGGCTTCAGGAAACTTAGAATCGTGGTGGAAAGCAAAGGAGAAACAGGCACCTTATACCCAGGATGGCAGGACAGAGTGAGTGCAAGCAGGGGCAGTGCCAGAGGCTTATAAAATCGTCAGATCTCATGAGAAGTCACTCACTGTCATGAGAACAGCATGGGGGAAACCACCTCCATGGTCCAATTACCTCCACCTGCTGCTGCCGTGATATGGTTTGGCTCTGTTCCCACACAAATCTCACCTTGAATTGTAATAATTCCCACATGTCAAGGGCAGGGCCAGGTGGAGATAATTGAATCATGGTGGCAGTTTCCCCCATATTGTTCTTGTGGTAGTGAATAAATCGCATGAGGTCTGATGATTTTATAAATGGGAGTTCCCCTGCACAAGTTGCCTGCTACCATGTAGGATGTTCCCTTGCTTCTCCTTTGCCTTCTGCCATGATTGTGAGGCCTCTTCAGCCATATGGAATGGAGTCCATTAAATTCTTTCCTATAAATAATAAATTTCCTATAAATTATGCAGTCTTGGGTATGTCTTTATTAGCGGCATGAGAACAGACTAATACATGCCCTGAACGTGTGGAGATTATGGGGATAAGTCAATATGAGATTTTGAGTGGGGACACAGCCAAACCATATAACATGGTGAATAAAAGATTTCCAGAGCTTTCAAGGAAGACCTGAGTAAATGTAGAGGCATGCTATATCAGTGGATGGTAAGACACATCACTAAAAACATAATTTTTTTCCAAATTAATTTCTATATTTAATGTCATTCAAACAAAATATCTACGAGTGTTGTTCAAAAACCTTAACAGATTCTAAAATAAATTTGGAAGAGTAAATTTTCCCAAAAAACTAAAACTAATTGGTTTTTCACAAAAACAAAAGGGTAATAGGCATCTATTACCACGTATAAAGTTTTAAACAAGGGATTTTAATTAAAATGATGAAATGATGTGAACCTGGATTCGTTATAACACATGGATCAATAGAACATAATATAAAGCCAAGAATGTATGCATACATTTGTTTCATATATATTGATCTTGAAATTTTTCATGAAAGAGGAAAGATTTCAGTAGGAAAATATTGTCCAGACAATGGGCTATTAGATACATTCCCCATAGGTCCTTTGTGTTTCTGCCATCCTCTTTGTTCCAATAGTTATTTCAGAGTATTTCTATAGTCAACACACTTGGAAGACTCCTTCTAGAGCAAGAGGCAGGCATACTTACTTCCCTTATAAAAGATTTGGGTTCCCTTAACTCAGGGTTCCTTTCTTATAAGGCAATCCGTGGCATGTGAGCAGGTGTCACCTTATCCTCTTAATGTTGCCTGGTAGGAATTGAAACTCTGGGAATCAGGGCAAAAAAAATGTTGATTGCAACAATTAGTAAACTGTCATTATCGACCCAGGAATCTCACATCTTTTACCAATATCCATATAATGGGGTGAGGTAAACATTTTAGCTTACCTGTAGGGTAAAATATTAGACTCTTCACAGTTCTTGGCATTGGCTATCTTTATGAAAAATATAAAATTGGGTCCCAACCTCACACTACACATAAAATAACTTCAAGTACTTGGAGAGCTAAATGTAAAATAAAAATTTAAAAATTATCAGAAGAAAATATAAAAGAATGTTTCCTGACTCCTGTTTAAAAAACAATTTCTTAAACTATAGACAAAAATTAATTTTGTAAACAAGAAAGTTCTGCTGGAAAGGCTCAACAAATTTGACAACATGTACTTATTAAACAGTGACAACAAAACCTCTTCTGCAAAAGATGACATTCACAAGATTAGCAGGCAGACAACAGAGGGAGAAAAAATATATGCAGGTACAAAATATATAATAAATATACATTTATTATTTGTAGTATATTCTAATACAGTTCTAACTAGACCTTTAATAATAACAATGAATTAACACAGAATTAACAATGAATTAACACATTTGTAGCAGCTCAATAGAACAAGTGATGAAGTGTATGAGCAATCACTTTATAGGAAAGGAAATATAAATCTCATAGAACTACATTCAATCTCATTGATAGGAAAATGCAAATTGAAGTAAAAGACAAGGCACAGTATTTATCAGTTTTGGAAAAAATATAAATATCTGTCATTCAGTGGGGAAATATTATTCTTGTAAATTAGTAATGTGTATTGTCTTTGGGGAGCAATTTGCCAGAATCTGGTAAAAAAGTTAACAGCATTTGTATATCAGTTTCTTTGTTTCTAAATACAGACTCCTGACATGCCTAAACATTAAGTAAATCTATTGGAGAACAGTTACAGAAATGCTGGAAGAGCTGGAGAAATAAACTCTAGGCTAATGTTACAGAGACAAGGAGCAAAACCACACTGCAAAATTGTCCAAATAGGAGCTGCTGTTACTGTTCAGTTATGTACTGTCTTGTGATGCCCTTGCCATGAGGCTGTGCTGCCATTAACACCACTGAACCCAGTTACATGCTTCTTTAACATTGCTCCCATGCTAGCCAAGTGCATGCCTTAAGCTTTCTGTTTTCTTTTGTAGCTGTCTTATGCATATTAGGGTAGTAAAGCTGTGTCTGATGAGTGGAATGTAATTCCCAAACCTGCACCATTTCAGAAAGAAAGACTGGGGATTTTTTCCTTATTCCATATTGGAAAGCAAGGATTCACTCACAATTTGGAAAATACTGAAATGTAAATGAAGTGTTCAATACATTTGAAACAGTAATGAAAAATACATATCAACCACATCCTTTGCATAAGCAAAACTGTTTCTGGATATGTACCTAGAGAAATTCTTTAAAATGTGCAAAAATAAAGCAATGATGCCCATTATTGTATACTACTATTTCAAAAATGGGAAACATTCTTAAGTGCCCTGAAATAGGAGAACAAATGAATAAAATGTGATGAAGTCAAACAATGTAAGATTGAAAAAGGTGAATCAGATTTTTAGATATCAACAAGAATAGATGGTCCTCCCTCTGTGCCCGAGGAGAATTTATTTCAGGACTCCCATGGATATCATAATTCACAGACATTCAAGTCCCTTATGTAAAATGACCTAGTATTTGCATATAACCTATGTACAACTTCCAGGATACTTTAATCTTTAGATTACTTATAATACTTAATACAATGTAAATGCTATACAAATAGTTGCTATACTTATTTTTAAATTTTTTTATTGCTGTATTGTTATTTTTATTGTTTTTTGCTGAATGTTTTCAATTCATGGTTGGTTGAATCTGTAGATGTGGAACCCACTGATATGGAGGGCTGACTGTATTTCAAAAACATAATGAGAAGAAATAAGATGTGCAGAATGATATATGAAGAAAAACACCATTTATGCAAATAGAAACTACTATCCCCAAAGAGTATATATTGGCCAGTAATCACATATGTATATATAGCATTTATGCCTACATATATACATGTATGTGTGTATGAGGTTTTGTATCTGCATATATGTATGTATGCACATCTAGATATACAGATAGATGAATGAATAAATAGGTAAATAAATGATAGATAGATACTGGAAAACTGGGTGCACAATTCTTAGCATCTGCTATGGAGGGCTAACGATGAAGAATGGCAAGTGATGTAATGTTAGAAAGATTAAAGAGGACTTTATTTGTAAGCTTTAGTTCTTTAAAAACTGGCAAATCTCATTCCCCATGATATGCTTATTTTCCCTGGCGTGCCTGTATCAAAACATCTCATGTACACCGTAAATACATACACCTACTATGTACTCACAAACATTTAAAAAATAGGCCAGGCATGATGGCTCATGCCTGTAATCCCAGCACTTTGGGAGGCCAAGGCAGGCAATCACTCGAGGAGTTCAAGACCAGCCTAGCCAACATGATGAAACCCTGTCTCTACTAAAAATACAAAAATTAGCTGGGTTTGGTGGTGGGTGCCTGTAATCCCAGCTACTCGAGAGGCTGAGGCAGGAGAATCACTTGAACCCAGGAGGCAGAGGTTCCAGTGAGCCACGATTGCACCACTGCACACAGCCTGGGCGACAGAGTGAGTCTCCATCTCAAAAAATAAAATAATAATAATAAATAATAAAATAAAAAATATAAATTAAAAACAACCTGGCAAATCTGACAATAAGTTATCACTACTAGTTTAGGGGGAAGAAAATTGACATAATTTAGATTATTCTTTATGCTTTTCTGTATATTTTAATTGGTGGAGGAATTCCAAGAGGGAGAGCAGAAGCATTTAAAACCTTCAGAAGCCCAGCTTAATATTTGGACATCACTTCCACAACATTTTATTGGTCAAAAGAAGTCACAAGGCGAACTTTAATTTAAGGGACAGAGAAACCGACTGTACTTTTTGATGGGAGTAGCTTAATAGAACTACAACGAAGTATGGCTACTTTTGAAATCTACTATATGAACTTATGTTTCTAGAGGTGTGGTATTATAGCCTATAAAATAATTATAAAAGAAGACACAAGAAGACATTTTCATAAAATATGCAAGAACTGTGCCAAACAGATGGATAATTTATATATCTCTTTCATATATAGCCTGTTTGTTTGTTCTGTCACCAAAAGAATATCCAGAATCTATTCTTAAAAATTTTTTAAGCTCATTTAAAAAAAATACGTCAAAGAATAAGATTAGAAACATGTTACTTTAAGGTTTAGGCAAAAGCCGTGACTATAAACTGATGCAAAAAGAATAAACTTCAAAATCCATCTGCAACCTTGTTTTTAGAGACATTCATGCTGTTCTAGCTTCCCATTGCAGACATTGCCATTTCAAAGAAATATTCAGTCATAGTGATTATAAAAGATAAAATAATAAATCTGTTAATAAGATAGGATTTAGTAACATTTAAGCATGGATTAATGAACAAAAAATAATTAACTCAGAAATATTCTGATTACTTTGCTGAAACAAGTGAGGAAAATGTATTTTCCCACAGTAAAATAAATGGGAAATAGAGAATTTTTTAGTGTATCCTAAGGTGCATCTTGGTGTTGTGACTTTTAATTAATTTAACAAAATGGATAGTTTTGCTGCTGCTATCAAATTTTCAATACCAACCATAAATTAAAACTGTAATAACTAAAACATTTGGGGAAATAAAACTAAGAAACTCTTCTAGTGTTCTGAAATCTGGTGCATTCTTACAAAATGGGTTTTTATTTTCTAAATTTTTTTGTAGAGGTAAATTTTAAATTAATATTTATGCACAAACTACTGTTCATTGCTTGCTGCCCCTTCTAAGTGCCAAGCACTTTTCAGATCACATTATATTCAGCATCTCTTTTAATCCAAAATAGGAGGTGGATCATATTAGCCCCATTTTACAGATGATAAGGAGATGGTTCAGAGATAGTAAGGATATTGCTAAGGAAAGCTGGCTGGTAATTTGTACAGCCAGGGCTTGACTTGATGTGTCACTCTAGCATCTCCGCTGTAATCACTGCACTGTGAGACTCTCCAATGCAAAGGCTGTAGAATCTACTGGTAACTTCTGCAAAACTGTTTATAGAATACCTGAAGCATTGGTTCCTTTTTATTTTGTCTAAGTCAATCATTTAGACAAATTACAGGCAAAATTTCTAAACTGTGTACAAATTGTCATTTATGTCATATATTTGCTTAGCAAAAGGGATTATCAACTTTGAGTATTTCTAGTTTTTTCTATCATACCAACTAATTTTCTGTGCTTTTATTTGTGATGAGAGGCAATTTTCTATGTTTTGATTTGTACATTAATTGCAGTTTAATACCCCAAACTCCACTGACACATTAGGCACAAACAACATACTCCCATAGAGAGGGCATAGGCCTAGAACCAAGAGGTGAAAGAAGAAAGGCTTCTTTTTTGAAAGCTTCTTGATACCATGTGTCAAGATTAAATCCGGTGTCATTTTCTTTCCTCAAACAAAGCATTCTTAAAATTGAAATCCAGTGAAGAAAACAGATTACCATGCTTGACACTGAGTGAATCTTCTTTCTTATAACTCCTTTTGGTCATTCTGTCTTGTTCAAGGTTTATTTTTTTGTCTAGCATACATCCAGCACCCACCCAATCATTCTCTATTATGTTGTAATGTCACATCATGTCATGTAATGTCACATCATGATATGGTTTGGCTCTGTTTCTCCACCCAAATCTCATCTTGTAGCTCCCATAATTCCCACATGTTGTGAGAGGAACCCAGTGAGAGATGACTGAATTGTGGGGGTGGGTCTTTCCTATGCTGTTCTTGTGATAGTGAATGGGTCTCATGAGATCTGATGTTTTAAAAGCAGGAGTTGCCCTGCACAAGCTTTTATTTGCCTGCCACCATCCACATAAGATATGACTTGCTCCTTCTTGCCTTCTGCCGTGATTGTGAGGCTTCCCCAGCCATGTGGAACTGTGAGTCCAATTAAGCCTCTTTCTTTTGTAAATTGCCCAATCTCTGTTATTTCTTTATCAGCAGCATGAAAATGGACAAATACAGTAAACTGGTACCAGGAGTGGGGTACTACTGAAAAGATACCTGAAAATGTGGAAGCAACTTTGAAACGGGGTAACAGGCAGAGGTTGAAACAGTTTGGAAGACTCAGAAGGAGACAGGAAAATGTGGGAAATGTTGGAACTTCCTGGAGACTTGTTGAATGGCATTGACAAAAATGCTGATAGTGATATGAATAATAACGTCCAGGCTGAGGTGGTCTCAGATTGAGGAACTTCTTGGGAACTGGAGCAAAGGTGACTCTTGTTATGTTTTAGCAAAGAGACCGGCAGGATTTTGCCCCGGCCTTAGAGATTTGTGAAAATTCAAACTTGAGAGAGATGATTTGGGGTATCTGGTGGAAGAAATTTCTAAGCAGCAAAGCATTCAAGAGATGACTTGGGTGCTGTTAAAGGCATTCAGTTTATAAGGGAAGCACAACATAAAAGTTCAGAAAATTCATAGCCTGACAACGTGATAGAAAAGAAAAGCCCATTTTCTAAGGCAAAATCCAAGCCAGTTGCAAAAATTTGCATAAGTAACAAAGATCCAAATGTTAATTTCCAAGACAATGGGGAAATTTTCTCCAGGGCATGTCAGAGGTCTTCACAGCATCCCTTCCCGTCACAGGCCTGGAGGCCTATGAGGAAAAAAATGGTTTCATGTGCGTCACAGGCCTGGAGACCTATGAGGAAAAAGTGGTTTCATGTGTGGGCCCTGTGCTGTGTGCAGACTAGGGACTTGGTGCCCTGCATCCCAGCCACTCCAGCCTGGGCTGAAAGGAGCAAACTTAAGAGTTCAGCCATGGCTTCAGAGGGTGCAAGCCTCAAGCCTTGGCAGCTTCCACATGGTGTTGAACCTGCAGGTGCAGAGAAGTCAAGAATTGAGGTTTGGGAACCTTCCCCTAGATTTCAGAGCACGTATGGAAATGCCTGGGTGCCCAGCATAATTTTATAAAGAAGACCAAGAATACATGAGGTCCTCATGGAGAACCTCTGCTAGGGCAGTTTAGAAGGGAAATGTGGGTTGGGAGCCCCCATACAGAGTCCCTACTGGGGTATCACCTAGTGTAGTTATGAGAAGAGGATCACCATCCTCCAGACCCCAGAATGGTAGATCCACTGACAGCTTGCACCGTGCACCAGGAAAAGCCACAGACACCCAGTGCCAGCCCGTGAAAGCAGCCTGGAGTGAGGCAGTTGTTGCAGGAAGTCAGGGACCCTGAATGGAGGGACTGGCTGAAGCCATGGCAAAAGAACATAAATTGTGAAGATTTCATGGACATTTATTAGTTCCCCAAATTAATAGTTTTATTATTTCTTACGCCTGTCTTTACTGCAATCTCTGAACATAAATTGTGATGATTTCATGGACACTTATCACTTCCCCAATCAATGTTCTTGTGATTCCCTCTGCATGTCTTTACTTTAATCTCTTAATCCTGTCATCTTCGTAAGCTGAGGATGAACGTCGCCTCAGGACCCTGTGATGATTGTGTTAACTGCCCAAATTGTTTGAACAATATGAAATCTGGGCACCTTAAGAACAGGGTAACAGTGATGTTCAGAGAACAAGGTAGATAACCTGAAAGTCTGGCTGCCTGTGGGCCAGTCAGGAAAGAACCATATTTCTCTTATTACTGAAAATGGGTAAGAGAAATATTGCTGAATTCTTTCCCCAGTAAGGAATATTAATAATTAACAGAATTATTAATATGATTAATTATTATTAATCATATTAATTATAACTAATCAATATTAATTATTATAATTAATAATTCTGAGGAAAGAATGCATTCCCAGGGCGGGGCCTCTAAAATGGCTGCCCTGGGAGTGTCTGCCTTTATGCAGATGTAGATAGGGATGAAACATGCCCTAGTCTCCTGCAGTGCCCCCAGGCTTGCTAGGATTAGGAAATTCCAGCCTGGCGAATTCTAGTCAGACCGGTTCTCTGCTTTTGAACCCTGACAATGCGTGCACAGCAGGACATGGAAGTTCATTAGTGATTCTAGTTTCACCCTGACCTTCTGCCTTGTGATCTTTTGTCGCCCTTCAAGCATGTGATCTCTGTGACCCACACCCTATTCGTACACACCCTCCCCTTTGAAAATTGCTAATAAAAACTTGCTGGTTTTATGGCTCAGGGGGCATCACAGAACCTGCCGCCATGTGATGTCTCTCCCGGACACCCAGCTTTAAAATTTCTCTCTTTTGTACTCTTTCCCTTTATTTCTCAGACCCACCAACACTTAAGGAAACAGAAAAGAACCCATGTTGAATATCGGGGGCTGGTTTCCCCCAATAGCTGTACCCTGCAAAGCCACAGGGGCAGATCTGCCCAAGACTATGGGAACCTACCTCTTGGATCAGCATGACCTGGATGTGAGACATGGAGTCAAAGGACCTCATTTTGGAGCTTTAAGATTTGACTGCTCCACTGGATTTCAGACTTGCATGGGGCCTGTAGCCCCTTTGTTTTGGCAATTTCTTCCATTTGGAATGGGTATGTTTACTCAATGCCTGTACCTTCATTGTATCTAGGAAGTAACTAACTTGTTTTCGATTTTACAGGCTCATAGGTGGAAGGGACATGACTTGACTTGGATGAGACTTTGGACTGTGGACTTTTGAGTTAATGCTGAAATGGGTTGAGAATTTGGGGGACTGTTGGGAAGGCATGGCATGACTGGTTTTGAAATGTGAAGATAGGAGATTTGAGTGGGGCAGGGGGCGGAATGATATGGTTTAGCTCTGTGTCCCCACCCAAATCTCATCTTATAATTCCCATAATTTCCACATGTTATGGGAGGGACCCAGTAGGAGATGACTGAATAATGAAGGGGGGTCTTTCCCATGCTGTTCTCATGATAGTGAATGGGTCTCAAGAGATCTGATGGTTTTAAAAAAGGAGTTGTCCTGCACAAGCTCTTTTTTTGCCTGCTGCCACATGTAAGATGAGACTTGCTCCTCCTTGTCTTCCATCGTGATTGTGAGGCCTCCCCAGTCACATGCAACCGTGAGTCCAGTTAAGCCTCTTTCTTTTGTAAGTTTCCCAGTCTCTGGTATGTCTTTATCAGCAGTGTAAAAACAGAGTAATACACATCATATCACTGACAATCGAGGACAAGAATACAAATGCAAGCCCACATACTATATGCCAAACATTCATAGCTAAAAATGGAACTACCAAAATGTTGAGTAAAATGTTTTACCTCCTTGCCTTCATAATGATTTTTAAAAAATCAAAATACTATGATTATATTACCAAACACTGGAACATATTTAGAAATCAAAATTGAATTTTTATTATGTATGTATTATTTTCTGCTGATGAGTCTGCAATTTTTAGCTAAATCAAGACACATATAATTCTTTAAAGTCTTATTTATTCTTTAAAATTAATCTTCCTTTTTATTTCAGCAAAATCACTGATTACTTAATGAAGATTTTAAATAACTTGTGTTCTATTGATGATATAAATGGTTAAAAATTATTTATATTTAAAATAAACAGGCTTTGAATATACTTTTATAGAAATGTAATATGTTAGTATAAAAACTTGAAAAATTTAAACTATTTTCAGATATATTCAAACTTACTTTTCTTCTAAAATATTTCAGCAATATGTAGTAAATGCAGAATCCAATAATTAATAAACAACAAAAGTTAAAGTTTAATTATTTAAATTTAGCTACATTTTTAGTTTAATTTTTAAAATATCTGAAATCTTATAAGATATTTTTGTGGAAAGAAAACTTAGAAATTCTCATGTTCAATGTCCATCTCCTTGCTAGTGTGAAGAATATAAACCATACTCTAAGCATGTTACATTTAGGCTTACATAGACATATATTTAAGAGTGAAAGCCTTTTTAAACAATGCTAAATATTCCTCAGCTGCCACGGGAACTTGTGAAACAGCACTAATTCTGAGTACCTTTGGAAACATGAATGGAAACAGATCTTCAGCAAGAAAATGAGTGCTCAGCTCATCTAGGAATGATTCTGTTATATTAGAGACCAAAGCATCATGCTATCTGAAGGAAAGGATTTTGCAATTTAACTAAGTTTGCTTTTCTCTTACCTAAGTGCATATGCTGTTCCAATGTTCTCCATACTCCATAGCAGTGTCAGCATCCTTTGACAATATCAGCAACATAACATACAAACCTTCACATCATTCAGACATGGTGGCCTTTGGTTTTGAAGACAAAGCATAAAATGTGAAAAAGTCTTTCCCTAGAGTCTGAGAATCATGTTTGGGGTTATAGGTTGTCCTGATTTGATGCTGAACACCAAAACCTGAGAGTCAAAGCCCTTAAAGCATGAATTGTTTTTGTGCTTGTTACATGTGGTTCCATCCAAATTATGGGGCTCATATGTAAAGGTGGTACTGATCAACTGCCCATTACAATGTAAGCTTGTTAAGAACTGAGACCTTATGTTTTCTTGTATCCACAACATCTTGCACAGAGAAGGCCCTTAAATATTGGCAGATCAAATGAATAAATGACCTGATAAACCTTAGGACTTGGGGCTTTTAACATCTCACATTTTTGTGAGATGTAGCACTTATAACTAGGCTTACATGCTCACATGTTCCACTTGGTTGTCTGTATAGCAGTGTAGCCATAAGTCAAGTGTTATTCCAGACTTTTGGACATCTCTTCAATCCAAAACCTTCCTTTATTTTGTTAAATATCCTTTGGAGGGAGAATTTGAGAAGAGACACTGAGGAAATCAAACACCAACCTGTAAAACTAGTAATTACCTGTTGTCCACAAACCTGTAAAGCTACTGAATCTTGTTATTTTTTGGAGGAGTAGTACCTGTGAGTTCACAGCTGTATACAATCAAAGCAGATGTTTTCAAAATGTGAAGACAGTACTGCTATAAGCATCCTCTGATTTATGGCTAAGTGGTTAGTTTTCCCCTTTTTTCACTGAATTATGAAAAATCTCATTCATAGATATATGACATATTATTCTGTTCTTGAGTTGCTATAAAGAAATACCTAAGGCTGAGTAATTTATAAAGAAAAGAGATTTAATTGACTTAAAGTTCTGTAGCCCATGTAGGAAGCATGGTGCCAGCATCTGCTTCTGGGGATAGCCTCAGGAATCTTCCCGTCATGAGGGAAGGTGAAGAGGGTACAGGCATATCACATGGTGAGAGGGAGTAAGAAAGAGAGAACTGGGGAAGGTTCAGACTCTTTTAAACAACCAGATCTCAAAACTGTAAACTAACTAAGCAAGAACTCACCAATCAGCAAGGAGATGGTGCTAAACCATTCATGAGAGATCCGCTCTCATGACCCAATATCTCCCACCAGGCCCTACCTCCAACACTGGAAATCACATTTCAATATGATATTTGGAGGAGAAAAACATCCAAACCATATCATATGGGAACTCCATTAGTGACATATGTGAAGAGTCAAAATCCCTAATTGGATCTCTGATTTGCCTAATTATAAGTGGAAGGTGTTTTTCTATTTAAATCCTCTCATTTACTTTTTGAAAATCCAAAACTGAGAAGAATCTGGACATCTTGTAAATAGTTCAACAGGTTGGGATTTAGAGGTATCAGGGATAAATTCCAGTGGTGATTTCACAGAAACTCTACAAAGCTCATTCCTCTTTTTTCATGTAAAGAATACTAAGGCTTTAACTGATGGGGTAAAGAGACCATTAAACTCTTTTATGAGACAAATATTTTATAATTTCATTATCTGCCAAGATGATGGTAGTAAGGAGTTTGAGACCATCAAATATGTAGTCTATGTGATAGTGGATCATGACTCTCCAGAGGCCCTATTCCCAAAAGTAAGGAAGCAAGAATGTTTCACAGTTATCTGGTTGAGTGGATTGTATGAGAATGAATGGGAGTTCATTGCTATGACATTGTACTTAGACTCAAAGGGCAGAATTTCCTTTAAAATGCCCAGCGATTTTCTGAACCCTATGCAAGGCAGACTAGGTTAAGATGGTTTTTTTTCCCTTGCAGTCTCTGAAAGCCTAGCTTCTCATGTTTTTCTAAGTTCCTGATTCACTGATTTCTGGATTTTGCCAGTCATTACAGGCCACAATGCAGAAGGAGAGATTTCCAGATGGCACTGCTAGGGCTTTCAACCTGGTGGTTTGAAGCCATTCTTCAAGGGATTGTCAGAGACTCTATTGTGGCTCTATTGCAGAAGTACTGGACTGGGTTGGTTTATTGCTGGCATAGGCAGGGTATGACAAGATAAGAACAGGGGTCAAGCTTGAATTGTGGCCTCCCGTATGTAATCTAAATTTCTTTTTAAAGGATGCACCATATTTCCAAATTTTATAGGTTTTCTTTAAAATGTATCAGAGTAGTTTTCTCTAAAAAGAATTGGTCAACCTCTGTGGAAACAGGTTCAAAGACAGCTTCATTCTAGTCTAGGCTCTCAAAAAGGAGATAGAATAGGGTGGCTTTACAGAACATTTATCTATTGCCTAAACTGACATATATTATTCATATTATTTCATCAACTTAATATTAGTGAAGTTTCCAATAAGTGATGGCTATTGGTCTAAGCACTATCATGTTTTGAAAAGTGCCCTTATGAAGGTATTCACGGAGTGATGTTGGTACAGACAAGTGAGACACTATAAGAACATCAGGAAAAGTGACATTTGGACTAATATTTGACAATTATGTAGTCATTCACCAGGTGAATAAAGGGCTAGAAAGGCTTCTAGTAAGATAAAGCAGCAACAATGTCAATGAAGTAAGAAAGAATATGTGGCATGGATGTAGCTGACTACAGCTGGATAGAGGTTGAAGACGTGGAAAGCGCTGAGAATTCACAGGGGTCAGATCATGATATCAAAGGAGCCACTGAAGAATGTCATGCAAGTGAAACAAAGATAGATCGGGATTTTTAAATAAAAAGTCTGGCACTGGCAGAAAGATGGAAAATAAGTTGGAGGAGAGAAAATTGAGTATATTAGGGTTCTCCAGAGAGACAGATCCAATAGGATATATGCACACATAAAAGGGAGTTTATTAGAGAGAATCGGCCCATACGATTACAAGGCAAAGTCCCACGATAGGCATCTGCAAGTTGGGGAAAAAGAGAAGCCAGTAGAGGCTCAGTCCAAGTCTGAAAGCCTCAAAACCAAGAAAGCTGATAGTGCAGCCTTGAGTCTGATGCTGAAGGCAGGAGAGCCCCAAGGGAGACCCGGAGTCCAAAGGCTGTAGAACCTGGAGTCTGATGTCCATGGGCAGGAGAGAGGAAGAAAAGCTTGTAGCAAGGGAAGAGAGAGAGCAAGAAATGCTGCAAGCTGCTTATCCTCCTCCTTCTGGCTGCTTTGTTCTTACCCTGCTGGCAGCCAATTGGATGGTGCCCACCCACATTGGCACCTCTTAGAGTCTACCAAATCAAATCTCAATCTTCTCTGGCATCACCTTCCCAGACACACCCAGAAACAATACTTCACCAGCCGTCTAGGCATCCTTTGATCCAATCAAGTTGACACATAATATTAGCTATCTCATCGGGGTAGAAGTTGAACTGTTTGCTCAGCTTTCCAGTTGAGAGAGGATGAAGGAATAGACTGGCAGTAGGCATAGAGAAGAAAGAATAAATATGTAAGACATTAAAATGGCAGGATAGACACATCTTTATTGTTGATTGGATATGAAAGGTTTGGGAGAAAGATTTAAAGGTTACTCTGGTACCTTTGGCATGCCTGTTTGGCATTTCCCAAACTAACTGCTCACGTGCCCTGGGGTACCATCAAGGACTCACAAGATCCTGTACAGTATTTTCAATGTTTGAGGGAAACACAGCGATATATGTAGGGCACAGAATAAACTATTAGCTTGAGATAGTTCACACATTTAACCTTAGATTGTGATCCATTCCTTTCAATGATGTCATATTTTTGTGTTTTCAGTGGTTGTGATAAAAATCAAATATTACTAAAAATCAATGCAGAATAACAAATAAAGGTAGACTTGTACACCATGACTCCAAGGTTTGAGAAGCTGCACAGAGTAGCACAGGCACACATTCCATTAGCAAGTAACTGTGGTTAAGACTGAATAAAAATGCTATCTTTTAGATTTATTTCCATTATTTTTTCAAACAGCTACTAAATTGTTAGGACCAATCCATTTATTAAGTTGTTTGGACCTAATTGATTCATAAATAGAATTGTTAAGTACTTCTTTTCTTTTAGATTTGGTGTGAAAAAATATTGAGACATTAAAGGCACCATGAACTGAGACTGTTTAAAAACCTCTGGCCTAGATGGTTTCAAGAGAGAGCCAGAGAGAATGCTGTAAAATTGACCTGTGCAGATGATGAGGATACACGGTGCAATGAAATGTCCAAACTGTGTGATTGCTAGCAAGGGGAGGAGTAGGAGCAGTAATCAGTTGTTAGAAAACAGAGATTAATATGGGGATAAAGGTAATACCTACTACTACATGTTGAGTACTCACCCTATACCAACCACAGTGGTGATACAGGTCAGTAGGCATTATCAGTCTCCATCCTCCCAGCAACCATGGAAGCTATGATTATTATCTCCTGATCAAGACAGCTTTAACTTTCCCCTCAGCTTGACAAAACTGTAGACAGGCTTCTTTCTGACTCTAAGCCCCTAATGTCCCTTTTTTTTTGAGCATTTAAAACTTTAAATTGTAGAATCATTTTCTGCCTCTTTCAGATATAAATCTTCTGCTAGCCTCCTGCCAGTTTTATAACCTGAGAATGTCTTTCTCCAGGATGTGGGAGCTAATCTTTTGAAATGTAATCAGGGAAGGAGATATTGCCTCTATCTCCTAGTCTCTGTGGGATGGTGGGTACCTAATTTTCATGTGCCAATTAATAAACTCAGATGGCCTTATCACATTAACCAACCTCCCCAGTTTCCTCCAGTACTTTTCCACCTGCTCACCTCAAGGCTTAAAAAACCCCTACCTGTTTCAGAAGAATTAACCTTAAATTATTTCTTCTATTTCAATAGTCTTGAATAAAGTCTTCTTTGCTTAACTCCATCAATGCAACTTTACTATGACAGTCACCATTTTACAGATATGGAGCTGAAGTTTATAACTTGCTGGAACTTACACAGCTAGTAAATGATGGAGACAAGTTTCTAACCCAGGTAACCTGAGTTCAGAGCCTAAGGGCATAAAGTATGGTACAGGTTCACTCTTGGAAAGACGCAAAAGCATAGGTTTTCTTGGTTGAGACAACAGAATTTGGCCTTTTGATAGTTCCAAGTTGGTCGGGTCCAGACATCAGACATCATCATTAGGTTGGCCAGGGAATAATATGTTCCTAAAACCACCAACATGAATTGTTACTAAACTTTCATGCTTTCCAAATTTCCAGTAAGTAGAAGCAAGAAGAATTCTAAATTTGGGATGGGGCTAAATTCTAGATAATATGGAAACAGCAGTCCAAAAATTCTTAATATTGGACTAAAAACTCATAGAGCTAGAGACTGCAGTACACTTGAACAAGAGTCCAGAACTTAGAGTCAGAGAGACTCAGTTCATGTGACAATTCTGTCTGGGTACCAATTATGAGATTATAAACATAAATCACTTATCACATAGTATCCACTAAAAAATATATAGACCAAAAAAAGTCTGTTTTGATACCTATGTTTATTGTCTTAATAAGAAATGTCTAGATTCCTGCTGTAGCTATAGCTTCCCCTGGCTTTAGAGTGTTTGTTTAAAGAAGCATGTTTATACTATATAATTTGTTGTTTTAGATGGAAGGTTTATGTGGCATTGCTTGAACAGTAATGAGTTTGCTTAAACAACGCTGCATGACTGCCGTCCTTTGGGACGCACAGAAAATGAGCCTCTTGTGAGTCAATCTTAGCAATGAAAAAATTTACAATAAAATTGGCTTCCGCTTTGTGTGCAGTTAATATCCACTTGTACAAGGTAAGCTGATACAGAATATCAGCATGGGTTCTCACCAGGGAGGTCCTCTTGAGACTTGTAAAATAAATGATCATTACTGTCATGCCCCAGTGGTATCTTTTTTCATTCCAAGCTGAAACTCCATTTTGACATTACAATATTTTCTTATGCAAATTGTAACTATCAGCTTTATATTGCAAGGATCTATTTCTCTGCAGATAATAGTAGTACATTTTCTAGAAATACAGGTTTGGGTTAAACTTCCTAAGTGCTCTCTTACCATTTAGGCAAGTATGAATCTCTCCCTCCAGCCTGGCTCCAGGTAACCATGATAAAGCAGCGGAAGATAAGAGAAGAACAATAATTCGCTTTGATCCAGGTGTTCACTAGTTTATGGCAAATTTGGAAAATAAGAGAGTTTCAATTAATTGCCATCTCAACTGAATAATGAATCCAAAATGTTGGATATCTCTGCAAGGAGTTCTACTGAGGTTTTTAGTGCATAAAAATGACTACTGCCTGTTTTCTGTGCTAGTTAACTCCTGAACAAGGTAGTGAGGCTTGGCTCTAGCATAGGGTTGAGTGAGTTAGGTGAACCAAACAGATTATACTGCTTTGATTTTTTTTCTTATCTATATATTTCTGAATTTGGGAAATTAATCGGTGGGAATAAAATAAAAGATGTAAGTCAGCCTTTGCTCATGACTCATTTCATTCACTAATAGCTAAGAATTAGGTTTATGATATACATAAGTAACCTATATGGTAAGAAAGTGAATCACATTTGTGAAAGTGACTGATTTCCAGTATGGATAATAGTTTTATTTAAAAAGAAAGTAATAAACACCAACCCAATAAACTTTCCAACCAACTAACAATCAAACAACAACAGATAAATAAAATAGCTGAGCATACTTAGTGAGAGTTTGATTTTGTGTTTCTTACTCTTAATCTCAGAGGGGAGAAACAAGTAATTCCTAGTTGTTCTGGTGCTATAGGCATGTGGATAAATTCATTCATTTAGCTATCCTGTTCTATGTATGTAATTGTGTGATTCATTGGACCCTAGCAGGATTTAAAAGGTTTCTTATTGCCAAGAATTGACTTGTCCACTCCTACCTTTCACTCCTTTTTGTTTTTTCACATTCTAGATCCTAAAATAAAAGTTGAATTCCCTAAAGTTAGCATCATCTGTTTCACATCTAAATTGCTGAGAATAAAATAAGTGGAAGTTGATGGCTGATCATAATAATGTTAATATAGCATATTACAAATTCCCTGTAGGTGTGTGTTATGGCTAAATTCATTCGACCCACATTTAATAATATAAAAATTATTTTAACGTTATGATACCTCTATATAAAACATATAAATAAGATGTTACGTTTTGAGATTCATGACAATTCTGACCTGCCCATGAATAAGGAGTGTCAGATTTGGCAAGCTCTATAATGATATATCCCTCTGTATCTGAGATCTGAACAGTTGGAAGCACCTAGAGAGAAGAAAGATGTGTCTGATCCACCACTGAGACAATGAAACTGTCCTTAACTCTGAACTGTAAACTAGCATATTTTTGTAAGTATGTGTGTGCATGTTTTCATGGCATAGAATTGAATTGTGAACATTGACAGTGGAAGCCTGAATGTCCTCTGAATAACTCTGCTTCATGCTGCCTCATGTTTTATGCAGATTATACTTTTTCTGGAATTGCCATTGCCAAACTACATTAAATTTTAATACACTTAGGAACAATTGGATTGTAAAAATTACTGTTAATATCATCATGTTTATGTAGAAAAAAATTCACAAAACTTTGAACATTTTCAAAAGAGACATGGGGAAGAGGAGTAGTTTGAATGATAGTAGAGAAAAAAAATGATTTCTTTTTTCTTTTTTTTTTTTTTGAGATGGAGTCTTGCTCTGTCACCCAGGCTGGAGTGCAATGGTGCGATCTTGGCTCACTGCAACCTCCACCTCCTGGGCTCAAGCGATTCTCCTGCCTCAGCCTCCCGAGCAGCTGGGATTACAGGTGCCCACCACCACACACAGCTAATTTTTGTATTTTTAGAAGAGATGGGGTTTCACCATGTTGGCCAGGCTAGTCTTGAACTCCTGACCTCATGATCCACCCACCTCGGCCTCCCAAAGTGCTGGGACTACAGGCATGAGCCACCGTGCCCAGCCAAAAATTATTTCTTTTAGTCTAAATAAAATTCCACTGGGTGCTTGGTGTTAAAACTTAGGCCGATCCTTCGCAATAAGACACATTCAGGTGGCAATCTTTATTTTTGTTAAAGTGAGCTTAGGGGCTAGTCAGTCTCTTTAGGCTAAATTTGTCTTCAGAAATGAGTCCGTAATATATACAGAAATTTTCTGACTAAAGAAAATATACGATAATTATACAATGATATATGATAAATTATGTAACCTATTAACTGTATATTTTACATATCTGAATAGCTCTTTGTATACTTTCTATATTTGATTTACAGTAGAATGAGTACTGATATTGAAATATTTGTTTTAGAGATTTTCAATTCCCATGAAAATTTCATAAATAAAATGTAAGATTTTTTAATACCATTGTCTTAGATGCATAGATTATCCTAAAAAGCTAATGAAAACAAAATTATTTTTTAATAATTTCCTAGGAAATTCTGGATATAATAATAATAGTAGTAATAATTAAATATGTAGTAAATTAAAATGAAATGACTATTTTCATCTTTCACTATTCACTCAAGAAAGTTAGTGGAATTAGATAATTTAAAGAGACTGGTAAAGGCTTATTGAGTTTTAAGGTTTATATATAAGTGAATGTATTGGGCTAAAGAAAAACACACTCTGCAAAATATATGAATATTAGAACCACTGTAGATGGTCTTGGATAGATTTGTTGCTTCTTGCTTACTTTGTTAAACAGTTTATAGTTATTCACAGTCTTTAATATTTATACACACACTATTTCTGGCAATTTCATTCCTTCCCGTAGATCTGAGTTTCTATTTGGAATTATGCCCTGTCGCCTGAAAAACTTCCTTTAGCATTTCTTGTATTGAAGGTCTGCTAAATAAATTCTATCAGTTTTTAAAAAATATAACAAATTCACTTTTGACGGATAATTTTGCTAGATAAAAAATGTTGGTGAAAATGTTTTTTTCTTCCGTTAATGCTTTTTAATGTTATTAAACCATTGTCTTTATATCTACATTGTTTATGATGAGAAGTTTCTTTACATTTTATCTCTGGTCTTGTACATGGTAACCTTGCATACAATGTGTCATTTTAATCTGCATACTTTTAAGGTTTTTTCTTTACCTTCATATTAAGCAATTTGTCTGTGATGTGCTTTAGTATGGTTTATTTCATAGTATTCTGCTTGAGATAAACTGGACTTCTTGGAACTGTATGTGAAGTTTCTCACTACATTTGGAATCCACTATTTCTTCAAATGTATTTTTTTTTTTTGAGATGTAGTCTTGCTTTGTCACCCAGGCTGGAGTGCAGTGGCATGATCTCAGCTCACTGCAAGCTCCACCTCCCGGGTTCAAACCATTCTCCTGTCTCAGCCCCCCGAGTAATTGGGACTACAGGCGCGCCCATCACCACACCTGGATAATTTTTTGTATTTTTAGTAGAGTCGGGGTTTCACCATGTTAGCCAGGATGGTCTCAATCTCCTTACCTCTTGATCGACCCGCCTCGGCCTCCCAAAGTGTTGGGATTACAGGCATGAGCCACCGCACCCAGCCCAAATGTATTTTTTTCTATCCTATATGCTCTCCTGAGCTTCACTCATGTTGTTGCATATTATCAGTAATTCATTCATTATATTGCTAAGTAGTATTCCTTTGCATGGATGGATGTACCACAATTAGTATACCTGTTCACCAGCTGACAAACTTTTTTTTCTTTTCTTCAGTTTTTGGCTATTGAAAATAATCCAGGACTAAAGGGAGAGAACTATAAAATGCCCTGTATTTTTTTCTTTTAAAAAAGAAACAAAGGAAGAAGAAAGAAAGAAATAACTGTTTCAGAAAGTTTATGACCCCCCAAATTTTATATGACCAAATATCAAAATACTTTAACAAAAAATTGAGGCTGCCTTCCTCCAAATATTGTTTTGAATATATTTCATTTTGGCCTACTAGATAGTTTCACAGTCAAAGGAAAATCTTGTAACTCTATTCTTTAACTTCCAAATAATATTCTATGGGATGTAATTCAATGTAAATTAAATTTTCATTACTTCATTTAAAGTTTGCTGTAGAGAGCTGGGTTCCAAGATGGCCGAATAAGAAAAGCTCTGGTCTGCAGCTCCTAGCGTGATTGACGCAGAAAACAGGTGATTTCTGCATTTCCAACTGAGGTACATGGTTCATCTCATTGGGACTGATTGACAGTGGGTGCAGCCCATGGAGGGCAAGCTGAAGCAGGGTTGGGTGTTGCCTCACCCAAGAAGCACAAGGGGTCAGGGGATTTCCCTTTCCTAGCCAAGTTAAGCAGTGACAGACTGTACCTGGTAAAATGGGACACTCTCACCCAAATTCTGCACTTTTCCTATGGTCTTAGCAACTGGTGGACCAGGAGATCCTCTCCTATGCCTGGCTTGGCAGGTCCCATGCCCACAGAGCCTTGCTCATTGCTGGCACAGCAGTCTGAGATTGACCTGCAAGGCTGCATACTGGTGGGGGGAGAGGTGTCCGCCATTGCTGAGGCTTGAGTAAGTAAAGAAAGCTGCCAGGAAGCTCAGACTGGGTGGAGCCCACCGCAGCTCAGCAAGGCCTACTGCCTCTATAGACTCCACCTCTGTGGGCAGGGCATAGGTGAAGAAAAGGCAGCAGAAACTTCTGCAGATTTAAACGTCCCTCTCTGACAGCTCTGAAGAGAGCAGTGGTTCTCCCAGCATGGCATTTGAGCTCTGAGAACAGACAGACTGCCTCCTCAAGCGGATCCCTGACCTTGGGTAGCCTAACTGGGAGACACCTCCCAGCAGGGGCTGACAGACACCTCTTACAGGCAGGTGCCTCTGGGACAAAGCTTCCAGAGAAGGATCAGGCAGCAATATTTGCTGTTCTGTAATATTTGCTGTTCTGCAGCCTCTGCTGGTGATACCCAGGAAAACAGGGTCTGGAGTGGACCTCCAGCAAATTCCAACAGACCTGCAGCTGAGGGACCTGACTGTTAGAAGGAAAACTAACAAGCAGAAAGGAATAATATCAGCATAAACAAAAAGGACATCCACAACAAAACCCCATCTGTAGGTCACCAACATCAAAGACCAAAGGTAGATAAAACTACAAAGATGGGGAGAAACCACAGCAGAAAAGCTGAAAATTCTAAAAACCAGAGAGCCTCTTCTCCTCCAAAGGATCACAGCTCCTCGCCAGCAACAGAACAAAGCTGGATGGAGAATGACTTTGATGAGTTGACAGAAGTAGGCTTCAGAAGGTCAGTAATAACAAACTTCTCCAAGCTAAAGAGGCATGTTCTAACCCATCGCAAGGAAGTTAAAAACCTTGAAAAAAGGTTAGACAAATGGCTAACTAGAATAAACAGTGTAGAGAAGACCTTAAATGACCTGATGGAGCTGAAAAACCATGGCACAAGAACTTTGTGACTCATGCACAAGCTTCGATAGCCAATTCAATCAAGTTGAAGAAAGGATATCAGTGATTGAAGATCGAATTATTGAAATAAAGTGAGAAGACAAGTTTAGAAAAAAAAGCTTAGCAAGAAATGAACAAAGCCTCCAAGGAATATGGGACTATGTGAAAAGACCATATCTACGTTTGATTGGTGTATCTCAAAGTGACGGGGAGAATGGAATCAAGTTGGAAAATACTCTTCAGGATATTATCCAGGAGAATTTCCCCAACCTAGCAAGGCAGGCCAACATTCAAATTCAGCAAATTCAGGAAATACAGAGAACACCGTAAAGATACTCCTTGAGAAGAGCAACCCCAAGACACATAATTTTCAGTTTCACCAAGGTTGAAATGAAAGAAAAAATGTTAAGAATAGCCAAAGAGAAAGGTCAGGTTACCCACAAAGGGAAGCCCATCAGACTAACAGCAGATCTCTCTCTCAGCAGAAACTCTACAAGCCAGAAGAGAGTGAAGTCCAATATTCAACATTCTTAAAGAAAAGAATTTTCAACCCAGAATTTCATATTCAGCCAAACTAAGCTTCATAAGTGAAGGAGAAATAAAAACCTTTACAGACAAGCAAATGCTGAGAGATTTTGTCACCACTAGGCCTGCCTTACAAGAGTTCCTGAAGGAAGCACTAAACATGGAAAGGAACAAACCATACCAGCCACTGCAAAAACATGCCAAATTGTAAAGACCATTGATGCTATGAAGAAACTGCATCAATTAGCAGGGAAAATAACCAGCTAACATCATAATGATGGATCAAATTCACATGCAACAATATTAACCTTAAATGTAAATAGGCTAAATGCCCCAATTAAAAGACACAGACTGGCAAATTGGATAAAGAGTCAAGACCCATCAGTGTGCTGTATTCAGGAGACCCATCTCATGTGCAGAGACACACATAGGCTCAAAATAAAGGGATGGAAGAAGATCTAACAAACAAATGGAAAGCAAAAAAAAAAAAAAGCAGGGGTTACAATCCTAGTCTCTGATAAAACAGACTTTAAACCAACAAAGATCAAAGAGACAAAGAAGGCCATTACATAATGGTAAAAGGATCAATTCAACAAGAAAAGCTAACTATGCTAAATATATATGTACCCAATACAAGAGCACCCAGATTAATAATGCAAGTCCTTAGAGACCTACAAAGAGACTTAGACTCCCACACAATAATATTGGAAGATTTTAACACCCCACTGTCAATATTAGACAGTGGTCAATGAGACAGAAGGTTAACAAAGATATCCGGGACTTGAACTCAGCTCTGGGCCAAATGAACTTAATAGACATCTACAGAACCCTCCACCCCAAATCAACAGAATATACATTCTTCTCAGCACCACATAGCACTTATTCTAAAATTGACCACATAATTGAAAGTAAAGCACTCCTCAGCAAATGAAAAAGAACAAAAATCACAACAAACTGTCTCTCATACCACAGTACAATCAAATTAGAACTCAGGATTAAGAAACTCACTCAAAACTGCACAACTACATCGAAACTGAACAACCTGCTTCTGAATGACTACTGGGTAAATAACGAAATGAAGGCAGAAATAAATAAGTTCTTTGAAACCAATGAGAACGAAGACACAATGTACCAGAATCTCTGGGACATTTAAAGCAGTGTGTAGAAGGAAACTTATAGCACTAAATGCCCACAAGAGAAAGCAGGAAAGATCTGAAATCAATGTCCTAACATCACAACTAAAAGAACTAGAGAAGCAAGAGCAAACAAATTCAAAAGCTAGCAGAAGGCAGAAAATAACAAAGATCAGAGCAGAACTGAAAGAGATAGAGACACAAAAAACCCTTCCAAAAATCAATTAATCTAGGAGCTGGTTTTTTGAAAAGATCAACACAATTGATAGACTGCTAACAAGACTAACACAGAAGAAAAGAAAGAAGAATCAAATAGACGCAGTAAAAAATGACAAAGGGGATATCAGCACCAATCCCACAGAAATACAAACTACCATCAGAGAATACTACAAACACCTCTATGCAAATAAACTAGAAAATCTAGAAGAAATGGATAAATTCCTTTACACTTACACCCTCCCAAGACTAAACCAGGAAGAAGTTGAATCTCCGAATAGACCAATAACAGGCTCTGAAATTGAGGCAATAATTAATAGCCTACCAACCAAAAAGCATCCAGGACCAGATGGATTCACAGCTGAAATCTACCAGAGGTACAAAGAGGAGCTGATACCATTCCTTCTGAAACTATTCAAATCAATGGAAAAAGAGAGAATCTTCCCTAACTCATTTTATGAGGCAAGCATCATCCTGATACCAAAACCTGGCAGAGACACAACAAAAAAAAAGAGCATTTTAGACCAATATCCCTGATGGACATCGATGCAAAACTCCTCAATAAAATACTGGCAAACAAAATCCAGCAGCACATCAAAAAGTGTATCCACCACGATCAAGTCTGCTTCATCCCTGGGATGCAAGGCTGGTTCAACATATGCAAATCAATAAACGTAATCCATCACATAAACAGGACCAGCGAGAAAAACCACATGATTATCTCAATAGACGCAGAAAAGGCCTTCAACAAAATTCAACAGCCCTTCATGCTAAAAACTCTCAATAAACTAGGTATTGATGGAATGTATCTTAAAATAATAAGAGCCATTTATGACAAACACACAGCCAAATCATATTAAATGGGCAAAAGCTGGAACAATTCCCTTTGAAAACCGGCACAACAAAAGGATGTCGTCTCTCACCACTCCTATTCAACACAGTGTTGGAAGTTCTGGCCAGGGCAATCAGGCAAGAGAAAGAAATAAAGGGTATTCAATTAGGAAAAGAGGAAGTCAAATTTTCTCTGTTTGCAGATGACATGATTGTATATTTAGAACACCCCATCGTCTCAGCCAAAAATCTCCTTAAGCTGATAAACAACTTCAGCAAAGTCTCAGGATACAAAATCAATGTGCAAAAATTACAAGCATTCCTATATACCAATAACAGACAAACAGACAGCCAAATCATGAGTGAACTTCCATTCACAATTGCTACAAAGAGAATAAAATACCTAGGAATCCAACTTACAAGGGATGTGAAGGACCTCTTCAAGGAGAACTACAAACCACTGCTCAACGAAGTAAAAGAGGACACAAAAAAAATGGAAGAACATTCCATGCTCATGGATAGGAAGAATCAATATCATGAAAATGGCTCAAGATAATTTATAGATTTAATGCTATCCCCATCAAGCTACCAATGATTTTCTTCACAGAATTGGAAAAAAACTAATTTAAAGTTCATGTGGAACCAAAAAAGAGCCCGCATTGCCAAGACAATCCTAAACAAAAAACAAAAACAAACAAACAAAACAAAAACAAAGCCGAAGGCATCATGCTACCTGACTTCAAACTATACTACATGGCCACAGTAACCAAAACAGCATGGTACTGGTACCAGAACAGGTATATAGACCAATGGAACAGAACAGAGGCCTCAGAAATAACACCACACATCTACAACCATCTGATCTTTGACAAATCTGACAAAAACAAGACATGAAGAAAGGATTCCCTATATAATAAATGGTGCTGGGAAAACTGGCTAGCCATATGTAGAAAGCTGAAACTGGATCCCTCCCTTACATCTTATACAAAAATTAATTCAAGATGGATTAAAGACTTAAATGTTAGACCTAAAACCATAAAAACCCTAGAAGAAAAACTAGGCAATACCATTCAGGACATAGGCATGGGCAAAGACTTCATGACTAAAACACCAAAAGCAATGGCAACAAAAGCCAAAATAGATAAATGGGATCTAATTAAACTAAAGAGCTTCTGTACGGCAAAAGAAATTACCATCAGACTGAACAGGCAACCTACAGAATGGGAGAAAATTTTTGCAATCTACCCATGTGACAAAGGGCTAATATCCAGAATCTACAAAGAATTTAAATTTACAAGAATAAAACACCCCCATCAAAAAGTGGGAAAAGGTTATGAACAGACACTTCTCAAAAGAAGACATTTATGCAGCCAACAGACACACGAAAAAATCCTCATCATCACTGATCATCAGAAAAATGCAAATCAAAATCACAATGAGATACCATCTCACACCAGTTAGAATGGCGATCATTAAAAAGTCAGCAAACAACAGATGCTGGAGAGGATGTGGAGAAATAGGAACGCTTTTACACTGTTGGTGGGAGTGTAAATTAATTCAACCATTGTGGAAGACAGTGTGGCGATTCCTCAAGGATCTAGAACTAGAAATCCCATTAGATCCAGCAATCTCATTACTGGGTATATACCCAAAGGATTATAAATCATGCTACTGTAAAGACACATGCACACATATGTTTACTGCGGCACTATTCACAATAGCAAAGACCAACCCTAATGTCCGTCAATGATAGACTGGATTAAGAAAATATGGCATGTATACACCATGGAATTCTATGCAGCCATAAAAGGATGAATTCATGTCCTTTGCAGGGACATGGATGAAGCTGGAAACCATCATTCTTAGCAAACTATCACAAGGACAGAAAACCAAACACCATGTGTTCTCACTCATAGGTGTGAATTTTACAATGAGAAACCTTGGACACAGGGCAGGGAACATCACACACTGAGGCCTGTCGGGGGGTTGGGGAACTAGGGGAGGGATAACATTAGGAGAAATACCTAATGTAAATGACGAGTTGATGGGTGCAGCAAACCAACATGACACATGTATACCTATGTAACAAACCTGCACGTTGTGCACATGTACCCTAGAACTTAAAGTATAATAAAATTAAAAAAGCTTGAAAAATAAAAAAATAAAGTTTGCTGTAGATATACAGTTTGGTGATTTTGATCTATTTTTGTTAAAGAACAGAACACATGATTTTTAGTGTTTCTAGTGGACAGGTTAAGGTGACTTCCTGCCTTTTATTTTCATAGTAAACGTTTTTCTCCAAGGTCAGAGATGATACCGGTGCTCTCTTGTGTTTCTGCTATTAGGTGAGGATGATAAATTTGGCTTTCATAACCATTCTGAGAGAGTGCTTGCCACCAACACATTTGCATTATAAATGGAAGGTGTTTTTCTAGGAAGTGAGTTTCTAGGTTTGGCAAAAAAAAAAAAAAAAAAAAAAAAAAGCCTTAGACTCCTCAGCCTTAGCTGTGGCACTATTAGTCTTCTTCTGGTTTCAAGTGAAATATTGTAGAATTTTCCATAAGGTGTGTAAGCAGATTGAAACCTGTTAGTTTCATGAGGTAGTTAACTTTTTGGTTTGTGGATCAGTTTCAGTTTTTTAAGAGTTAAATAATAATAATGTATATACATATTAGGCCACTTCCTTTGAATGTTTCAGAATACATTCTAGACTTTGCACGATTAATCTACACAAGGGAACAAGAAAGGAACAGATAGGACTTTTTAGAAAATTCTAAACAAATAAGAAACAGGTAATTAATTCAGTGTCCGTCTCCCTTCAATTTTGAAATAATTATGATATGAAGTTGCCACAAATTACAGTCATGGATGGCATAATGGTGTTTTGCTCAATAATGGAACTCATATATGATGATGACCTCTTAAGATTATAATATTGTATTTTTTTCTGTACCTTTTCTATGCTTATTCTTAGATACTCAAGTACTTACTATTGTGTTACAATTGCCTACAGTATTCAGTAGAATAACATGCTGTAGAGGTTTGTAGCCTAAAAGCAATAGGTTGAACCATATAGCCTAGGTGTAAAGTGGGCTATACCATCTAGGTTTATGTAAGTACACTCTATGATGTTAGCACACAGCAAAAGTTGCCTAAAGATGCATTTTTCAGAATGTGTTTCCATCATTAGGCAATGCATGACTGCATATTAAAACAGCTTCTTCGTCTCCTCTGCACTGCTCATCCCCTCCCTACACCCCAATCCTGTGCCATTTAAGATTACTAGTATTAAGAATAAAACTTCTCTTTTAAAATTACTGTTTTTTTTCTTTTACTATTATTTTAAATTTAAGGGTATGTGTGTAGGATGTACGTTTGTTACATGTGCCATAGTGGTATGCCGCACAGACCATCCCATCACCTAGGTATTAAGGGCAGGATCCATTAGCTATTTTTCCTGATGCTCTCCCTTCCTCCTCCTCCCACCCCTGACAGGCCCCAATGTATAACAAACAAACAAACAAAAACCCAGCATATCAAAGAGCAGGAAGAAATTTACTCTTGTTTGTGAGTGTGAAAGGGAAAAAAAGAGAAATTAAATGACCTTTGATAGGATTTTGAGGACCTCTGTGAAGACAAGGGAAGAGAGAAATTCCAGGCAGAGGGAGGAGCATATAGAAAATTGCAAAAGTGGAAAGAAATGTATGCTGTGTTTAGGGATATATTATTGAGTCTCTATAATGTAAAAAAAAAAAAAAATAAAAAAATAAAAACGAGAAACATGCAGCAATGTAGAAGGCCAGAAAAACTGATACGTAGGGCAAATCCAGAAAGGCCTTTTTTGTTAGCCAACATACCTGTAGTGGACATAAAGTCCAAGGAAGTGCCATGACTAGTTATGGATTTTAGGTAACAGAATCTGGAGCATTGTGTAGAATAAAGTGCAAGCTGAAGGAAAGGAGCCTGAGTAGCTGGAATTAAAAAGTCTAGGCATGAGATAAGGATGGTTTATGTAGTGGCCACAGTGATGAAGAGAGGGAAGAGAATTAGCAGATATATTTTAAAGGATTTATATCATAACTGGGGTAAGAATCAGATAGGGAGGGTCTAGGTCGATTCCCACTTTTTTGTCTTGGATGTGTGAGAGTGTGGCAGCATTGTCAGATATATAGGATGGAGCAGGAGACTGACTTTAGAGAAGCAATGTAATGATACTGTTATTTGTAGATCTTTACTTCATTGTCTTTCTTTCTGGAGAGAACCTACGGCACCCATAAATCTGGGTTTGTACAGGACTGTCCCCAGTTTATACCTGTTGTCTCAGGTGCTGATTAATAACTGATAAAGTATACAGTCACATTAGCTGTGATGGAGTGCTGCATTGAAAATGATTTTTCTTTTATCACTTGGAAAGATCTTACTTTTGAATTTACCTGTTCATCTTTAAAAGTCAGTGGAATGCAGATTCTAAAGCCATTTTTGTTCTTGTTCCCACCTTTCAAGACAAGCTCATTCTTCTGAAGTCAAACTAATTGACCCTTCTATTCTCTCAAATCACTTGGTGAGCACCTCTGTCAGATTCCGTACCACATTGTATTATAACATATGTAGAATTATTCTCTTACGGACGCATTTTCTCCAGTAGGTTGTCAAAAATTTCCTGACAGCTAGACCAGTGACTGTCATACAGAAGTGCTCAATATATATTTTTCATCTTACATGTACATTGATTGTTCTTATATATGTGTGTTGTGATGTCATAATTGATTGCAAAGTTAAGAGATACATTATGGCAGGGCATGGTGGCTCATGCCTGTAATCCTATCACTTGGGAGGCTGAGGTGGATGTACCACTTGAGCCTAGGAGTTTGAGACCAGCCTGGGAACCACAGTGAACCCCTCTCTCTGAAAAAGTATAGAAAAATTATCTGGGCGTGGTGGCACGTGCCTGTATCCCAACTACTCAGGAGGCTGAGAAGGGTGGATCACCTGAGCTCAGGGGTTCGAGGCTGCAGTGAACCATGATGGCACCACCGCACTCCAGCCTGGGCAACAGAGTGAAATTCTGTCTCAACAAACAAAACAAAACAAAAAGAGATACATTAAGAAAGATGATAAAAGTTTTTCTGAGATTTTCTTGGCTATTTTCTGTTAAAGAAAGCTATTATAGGCAAGGAGTTTGGAGAATTTTGAAATTATTTGAAAAAACATGCTGGGGACTTGGATACTATGTCCTAGTCGCCTCTCTTACTAAGCAGCTATTTTGAAGACCAATGTCTGTGACTCTTAATTTTATCATCTGAAAAATGACTTTGATTTTCTATTATAAAGGTTGTTATTTGAATCTACTGACATAGTAGATTGTCACATTGCACAATGAAAAAAAGGATATGCAAATATTTGTTATTATATTACAGCTATTAATATTTTATGTTTCTAATGATAATATGTTTCCTTTGCAATGACAATTTTCTCTAACACTGGGGTTTTTTAACAACTTCCTAAATTTAGAGAATGGAAGCATAATTATTAGAAGAGGCTAACTGGGGGAAAAAAACAATGAAAAAAGTCTTAATTAACTCTGCTTGATGAAAATGAGTCAGTTTCTATAGCAATGATATAGAAGGACGTGAGTTTTATTAAAATCTCATGCTTTTTAAGTTTTTTATATAGTATCCTCATTAAAATAAAGTGCTTTGAAAGTAAAGTAATATGAATACTTTATACCCATATTAAAAAAATAAAAACCGGGAAAAAATGACAAAAGGAAAATTATCTAGAAATTACAAAGATAAAAGGGAAACAAAACTACTCACTCAGAACCATTGAGTTCAGGGTGTTCATAGAGATAAGAATTACTGGTATAATTAGCCCAAAAGTCAAAAAGGAAAGGAAGCATTGATTTGAATACTTTGCAAGTTTATTATATTTGATTTTAGCATTGATTAAGCCTTCACAATGCACTCAACAGGGGATTGAGAGTTATGAAGTAAATATTAAAAAACTATTATAGCACACTATTCCCAAGAAAATCAATATACTGAAGAAAAATGACACTAAGGTAAATGTACACAACACACACACAGGTACACATTATATTAATACAGTTTGATGTTCTGAGAGTAGAAACTATTATTCATGTGATTTTGCATATATATTTATATACATAAATATATGCTTTAGGAAGTAAACATGACATATACATTCATTGTGAATATTATATTTAAAAATTGCTGCAAAATTCAAACACTAATATGGTACTACTTAAAAAATGATATAAAGAAATAAAAAATCTTTTAATCTCACAGAATCTAATCCATTAAATAAAATTAGTCATACATACATAGACATATATATTTCTTGAATTGAAAGAGAGTAGAAATTAGTTATGAAGTCAAGCCAAAAAGAATTTTAAAAATTATTAAAAACACAGAATATAAAATTTTATGTATTTGAATAAAAAACAAAATGGATCTATATGTCCTGACATATAAGTATGTATCTGAGATATAAAGTGAAAAAAAATCACATCAAACAAGCATAAGCCCTGTATTTGTACCTATAATCTTACGTATATTTTTATAAGGTTGTATCTATACATGTGGGAGAAAATGTTTGGCCTTGCCACTGTGCACATTTTTTTTTTTAACAAAAATTACTTTCAAATTTGAGAAACACCAAACAGAGCAAATGTCAAGTAGAGAAGATATTATGGCCTTGTAAACATGAAACATATGAATATATTGACATGAGCATATTAAACATACTCTAGAATTGATGAAATAGATAATTTGTTTATCCTGTTGTTTCTTGGTCAATAGCAGATACTTGCCAAATTATACTAAATCTACCTGTCCTATAGTGTTAGGTTCAGTAGGCTCTGAGATTATTTCCTCTCATTTCATCTCCTTTTTTTATTATTCTCATTCCTATCCTCAGTCATTCTGTGTATATACCATGTTGAATTACAGACACATCTCAAATTTTCTATAATCTCTTTCCCATTTAGATTTCTTACTTATATTCTGTAGGACTCACCTACATATATACCCCACATCTTTTTCTTTAGGAACTATGATTATATGTTCCTCCACCAGGGAGCTTTCTTGAATCCCCAAGGCTGAGTCAGTCTCAACTATTTACATGCTGTCCTACCCAGTGTTCTTACCTCAGTCACATGTATTCAAATTATATCTTTACTTGTTTGTACTCCCAGATAAGCTCTTTGAATTAGAAGCTGGGCTATAGTGATAATATAACATCTAACTCAGTGATTGCCACCTGACTCTCGATAACTATTGTACATTAAAAAGTGAGTGAATAAATATATTTTTGCTCTGACTACTTTATCTGAGCAAGATATTGGTTATTTTGGATATTTAACTATGCAGAACAATTTCATTCTAGCTATTATACGTGTGTTAATGGTAAACCGACAGACACTCCTTCTGTTTTTTGATCTATAATAACATCAAGAGGTATTTTGTGTTCTTTCAGATAAGAATTACCAAATCACTAAGAAAATTTATTTAATTGAGTTATATATTCTTAAGTTCTCCTAAGTATACATTAGAATCAAAAGGTGGAGTTTAAATTTTTTTTGATACAAAAGACATAAGATGTTAAAATAATAAACAGATAAGGATATATGTAATAGAGTACTAAGTTGTATAATAGAAATAAAAAGTCATAAGAATTTTGAAATGCATGTGATCAATCGGAAATTGAGAAAACTTGATTGGTGGAAGGTTATGATCTATATGGATAAAATCTGGTCTGGTTAGCAGAAGAAAAAAATAGCATTGCCGAGGGAGGTAGAACAAGGTGGCGGAATAGAAAGCTCCACTGATCATCCCCCAGCAAGGACACTAAGTTAACAACTATCTACAAAGAAAAAACACCCTCATAAGAACCAAAAATCAAGTGAGCACTCACAGTACCTGGTTTTAACTTCACATCATTGAAAGAGGTACTGAAGAGATAGAAAATCAGTCTTGAATCACTGACATCAACACTCCCTCACCCCAGCAGCAGCAGCAGTTCAGAGAGCATTTTCTCTGGGTGCTGGAGGAGGGAGAGCACAACAATTGTGAGGCATTAAACTCAGTGCTATCCTGTTAGAGCAGAAAGAGAAAACAGACAAAATTCAGCTGATGTCCACCCAGAAAGGAAGTGTTTAAATCAGCCCTAGCCAGAGGGGAGCTGCCAATCCCAGCCATCTGAACTTAAGTGTCCACAAACCTCGCCACTGAGGGCCAAAGTGCTCTTATAAATTTGAAAGGCAGTCTGGGACATAAGGACTGCAATTTTAGGTAAGTTCCAGGGCTGAGCTTGGCCAGAGACAGTGGATTGGGAGGGCATGCAACATACTGAGACACCAGCTGGGGCAGTCAAGAGAGTGCTGGCATCACCCCTCCTATAACCTCGGGCTGCGCAGCTTGAGGTTTTGAAAAGACCCCTTTCTTCTACTTGAGGAAAGGAGAGGGAAGAGTGGGGAGAACTTTGTTTTGCATTTTGGATACCAACTCAGCCACAGCAGCATAGGGCATGGGTCAGAGTCGTGAGGCCCATGTTTCAGGTCCTAGCTTCTAGAAAACATTTCTAGAATCACCCTGGGCCAGAAGGGAACTCACTGCCTTGAAGGAAAGGAGCCAGTCCTGCCAGCATTCATCACCTGCTAACTGAAGAGTTCTTGGTTTCTGAGCAACCAGCAACGCCACCCAGGTACCACATCGAGGGCCTTGGTGAGCCTCTGAGATTTGCTGACTTCAGATGAGACTCAGCACATTACCAGCTGTGGTGGCTATGGTGCAAAATTCCTTCTGCTTGAGAAAAGCAGAAGGAAAAGTAAAGGAGACTTTGTTTTATACCTCAGGTACCAACACTGCTACAGGAATGTAGAGCACCAAGCAGGCCCTTGGGGTCTCCAATTCTAGGACTTGACTCTTGGATGGCATTTCTGGACCTGCCACGGGCCACAGGGGAGCTCACTGCTCTAAAGGTTGAGTCCCAAGCCAGGCAGCATTAATCACAGGATGACTTAAGAAAACTTGGGCCTTGAAAGAACATTGGTGGTAGTCCAGCAGTACTCCTTGTGGCTGGGGGTGGTGGCAGCTATAGGGTAAGGCTCCTCCGCCTTTGGAAAGAGGAGGGAAGAGTGGGAAGAATCGTGTCTTATGGCTTGAGAGCCTGCTGAGCTGCCATACAATAGAATACCAGGCAGATGACTCAGGTTTTTGACTCTAGTCTCTGACTACTGGATGGCACTTCTGGATCCACACAGGGCCTGGGGTAACTTACTGGCCTGACAAGAAAGACACAGACCTGGCTGACTTTGCCACCTGCAGATCATAGAGCCCCAGGGCCTTGAGCAATCAGAGGCAGTAGCCAGGGAGGGTTATAGCAGGCCTTGGGTGAGAACCAGTGCTGTGCAGGTTTCAGGTCTGACCCAGCACAGTTGTAGTGGTGGTGGCCACAGGGGTACTTGTGTCACTCCACTCCCAGCTTTAGGTGGCTCAGAAGAGAGACAGAGACTGTATATTTTGGAGAAAGTAAGGGAATAGAACAAGTGTCTTTTCCTGGTAATCTAGAGAAGTCTTCCAGATCTTTTCTAAGACCACTAAGGTGATGACTTTATGAGACTGCAAGAACCACAGCATTACTGGGCTTGAGGTGCCCCCTAACACAAAAACAGCTTAGAAAACAACACCCAAGTCCTCTCAAATAACTAGAAAGTCTTTCCAAGAATGATAGGTACAAATAAGCTCATACAGTGACGACTACAATAAATACCTAACTCTTCAATGCCAAACACCAAAGAACATCTAATAGCATCAACATTATTTAGGAAAACATGACCTCACCAAATGAACTAAGTAAGCCACCAGGGGCCAATCCCAGAGAAACACAGATATATGAACTTTCAAACAGAGAATTCCATATACCTGTGTGGAGGAAACTCAAAGAAATTCAAGATAACAAAGAGAAGGAATTCAGAATTCTATCAGGTAAATTTAACAAAGAGAGTAATATAACTTTTTAAAATATCAAGCAGAAATGCTGGAGTTGAAAAATACATTGACATACTGAAGAATAAATCAGAGTTCTTCAATAGCAGAATGAATCAAGCAGAAGAAAGGATTAGTGAGCTTGAAGACAGGCTATTTGAGAATACACAGTCAGAGAAGACAAAAGAAAAAACAATGAAGCAGGCCTACAGGATCTAGAAAATAACTTCAAAAGGGCAAATCTAAGAGTTATTGGCCTCAAAGAGGAGGTAGAGAAGGAGATGGGGTAGAAAATTTACTCAAAGGGATAATAACAGAGAACTTCCCAAATCTAGACAAGGATATTAATATCCAAATACAACAAGGGTATAGAACACCATGCAGATTTAATCCAAAGACCACCTCAAGGCATTTAATAATCAGACTTTAAAGGTCAAGGATAAAGAAAGGATCCTAAAAGCAGCAAGAGAAAAGAAACAAATAACATGTAGTGGAGATCCAATACATCTGGCAGCAGACTTTTCAGTGGAAACCTTACAGGCCAGGAGAGAGTGGCATGACATGTTTAAAGTCACGAAGGAAAAAAGCTTTTACCCTAGAATAGCATGTCCAGCAAAAAGTACTTTCAAACCTGAAGGAAAAATGAAGACTTTCCCAGACAAATAAAAGCTGAGGATTTTCACCAATACCAGACCTGTCCTACAAGAAAGGGAGTACTTCAATGAGTAAGAAAAAGAACATTAATGAGCAATAAATTATCACCCAAAGGTACAAAACTTACTGGTAATAGTAAGTACATAAAAACATGGAATATTATAACACTGTATTTGTGGTGTGTAAACTACTCTTATCATAAGTAGAAAGACTAAACAATGAACCAATCAAAAATAATAACTACAGGCTGGGCACGGTGGCTCATGCCTGTAACTCTCAGCACTTTGGGAGCCCAACATGGGCAGATCACCTGAAGTCAGGAGTTCGAGACTAGCCTGGCCAACATGGTGAAACCCCGTCTCTACTAAAAGTACAAAAATTATCTGGTGTGGTGGTGGGCACCTGTAACTCCAGCTACTCAGGAGGTCGAGGCAGGTGAATCACTTGAACCCAAGAGACAGAGGTTGCAGCAAGCTGAGATCATGCCACTGCACTCCAGCCTGGGTGACAGAGCAAAACTCAATCTTAAAAACATATAATAATTACAACAACTTTTCAAGATGTGGTCACTACAATAGGATAAAAATAGAAACAACAAAAGTTAAGAAACCAGGAGACAAAATTAAATGAGTTTTTATTAAAGTTTTACTTTTCTTGTTTGTTTGTTTATACAAATAGTGTTAAATTGTTATCAGGTTAAAATAATGAGTTATAAGATAGTATTTGCAAGCCTTATGGTAACCTCAAACCAAAAGCCATACAATGAATACAAAACAAAATAAAAAGTGAGAAACTAATTCATATCACTAGAGAAAATCATCTTCACTAGAGGAAGACAGGAATGAAACAAAGAAGGAAGAGAAGACCACATAGCAACCAGAAAACAAATAACAAAATGTCAGGAGTAAGTCTTTAGTTATCAATAATAACATTGAATATGAAGAGAAGACCACATAACAACCAGAAAACAAATAACAAAATGTCAGGAGTAAGTCTTTAGTTATCAATAATAACATTGAATATAAATGGACTAAACTCTCTAATCCAAAAAGTAGACTAGTTGAATGGATGAAAAAACACCACCCATTGAGCTCTTGCCTACAAGAAACATCTTTCACCCCTAAAGACACACATAGACTGAAAATAAAAGGATGGACGAATATATTTCCTTGCCAATGGAAACAAGAAAGATCAGGAGTTGCTATACTTGTATCAGACAAAATAGATTTCAAGATAAAAATTACAAGAAAAGACAAAGAAGGTCTCTATACAATGATAAAGATGTCAATTCAGCAAGAGGATATAACAACTTTAAATATATATGCACCCAACACAGGAGCACCCAGGTATATAGAGGAAACATTATTAATGTGAAAGAGAGAGAGAGGCCCTAATACAACAATAGCTGGAGACTTCAACACCCCACTGTTAGTAGTGGACAGATCTTCCAGACAGAAAATCAACAAAGCAACATCAGATTTCATTGCACTGTAGACAAAATTGGCCTAATAGATATTTACAAAACATTTTATCAAACAAGAACTGCAAAATAAACATTCTTTTCCTCAGCACATAAATCATTCTCAAGGATAGACCATGTGTTAGGTCACAAAACAAGTCTTAAAACATTAAAAAAATTGAAATAATATCAAGCATATTGTTTGACTAGAATGAAGTAAAACTAGAAATTAATAACAAGAGAAATATTGGAAACTGTACAAATATATGAAAATTAAACAATATTCTCCTGAATGACTAGTGGATCAAAGAAGAAATTAAAAAGAAAATTGAAAATTTTATTGAAACAAATGGTAATGGAAACACAACATACCAAAACCTATGGAATACAGAAAAAACAGTACTAAGAGGAAAATTTATAGCTATAACTGCCTATGTCACAAAAGAGAGTATATGTGGATTTTCCAGACACACAATGCAAGCTGTCAGTTGATCTACCATTCTGGGGTCTGGAGGGTGGTGGCCTTCTTCTCACAGCTCCATTAGACAGTGCTCCAATGGGAACTTTCTGTGGGGGCTCCAACCCTACATTTCTCTTCCACACTGCCCTAGCAGAGATTCTCAATGAAGGGTCTGCTCCTGCAGCAAATTTCTGCCTGGACATCCAAACATTTCCATACAGGCCACTGAAATCTCGGCAGAGGTTCCCAAACCTCAATTCTTGACTTCTGTGCACCCACAGTTCCAACACCACAGGTAAGTCACCAAGGCTTGAGGCTTGCACTCTCTGAAGCAATGGCCTGAGCAGTATATTGACCCCTTTCAGCCACAGCTAGAGCTGAAGCAGCTGAGATTCGCGGCATCATGTCCCAAGGCTGCATAAAGCACTGGGGGCCCTGGGCTTGTCCCACAAAACCGTTTTTCCCTCCTAGGTCTCCAGGCCTGTGATGGGAGGGGTTGCCATGAAGGTCTCTGCCATGTCCTGGAGACATTTTTCCCATTGTCTTAGTGATTAACATTTGACTTCTCGTCACTTACGCAAATTTCTGCAGTTGACTTGAATTTCTCCCCTAGACAATGTGGTTTTCTCAAGTTTTCCAAAATTTTATGCTCTGCTTCCTCTTGAATGCTTTGCCACTTAGAAATTTCTTCCCCCAGATACCCTAAATCATCTGTCTTAAATTTAAAGTTCCACAGGTCTCTAGGGCAGGGGCAGAATGCAGCCAGTCTCTTTGCATAGCAAGGGTCACCTTTACTCCAGTTTCCAGCAAGTTTCTTATCTCCATCTGAGACCAATTCAGATTGGACTTCATTGTCCATATCACTATCAGCATTTTTGGCAAAACCATGCAACAAATCTCTAGAAAGTTCCAAACTTTCCCACATCTTCCTGTCTTCTGAGCCCTCCAAACTGTTCCAACTGCTTCTTGTTACCCAGTTCCAAGGTTGCTTCCACATTTTTGGGTATCTTTACAAGAATGCCCCACTCTCTGAGGTGTCAATTTACTGTATTAGTTCCTTCTCACATGGCTATGAAGAAATACCTGAGACTGGGTAATTTATAAAAGAAAGAGGTTTAATTGACTTGCAGCTCTGCATGGCTGGGAAGTCCTCAGGAAACTTACAATCATGGCAGATGGGGAAGCAGACACATCCTTTTTCACATAGTGGCAGGAGACAGAAGTTTGAGAGACAAGCAAAGATGGAAGCCCTTTATAAAACCACTTAGTCCCTCCCATGACACTTGGGGATTATGGGAACTACAATTCAAGATGAGATTTGGGTGGGGACCCAGCAAAACCATATCAATCTATATGCAAAAGAAGGAACCTAGACCTCTATCTCTCACTATACAAAAAAAAAAAAAAAGATCAAACTGGATTAAAGACTTTAAGACTTCAAACTATAAAACTACTACAGGAAAACATTGGGGAAAATCTCCAGGACATTCATCTGGACAAAGATTTCTTGAGCAATACCGCATAAGCACAGACAACCAAAGCAAACATGGACAAATGGGATCTCATCAAGTTAAAAAGCTTCTGCACAGCAAAGGATACAATCAACGAAGTGAAGAGAAAACCCACAGAATGGGAGAAAATATTTGCACACTAACCCCTCTGACAAAAGGTCAATAACCAGAATATGTAAGGAGCTCAAACAACTCTATAGGAAAAAATTTAATAATGTGATCAGAAAATGGGCAAAATATTTGAATAGACATTTTGCAAAAGAAGACATACAAATGGCAAACAGGCATATGAAAATGTGCTCAATATCATTAATCATCAGAGAAATGCATATCAAAACTACAATGAGATATCATCTCTCCCAGTTAAAATGACTTATATTCAAAAGATAGGCAATAAAAAATGCTGGTGAGGATATGGAGACAAGGGAACCTGTACACTGTTGGTGGGAATGTAAATTAGTACAACCATAATTTGGAAGTTCCCCAAAATACTAAAAATTGAGCTACCATATGATCCAGCATTCCCACTGTTGTGTATATATCCAAAAGAGAGAAAATCAGTATATTGAAGAGATATCTTCACTCCTGTATTTGTTGCAGCACTGTTTACAATAGCTAAGTTTTGGATGCAACCTAAGTGTCCATCAACAGATGAATAGATAAAGAAAACGTGATACAAATAGATAATGGAGTACTCACCAGCCATAAAGAAGAATGAGATTCTGGCATTTGCAACAACATGGATGGCACTGGAGATCATTATGTTAAATGAAATAAGCCAGGCACAGAAAGACAAACATTGCATGCTTTCACTTATTTGTGGGTTCTAAAAATTAAAACAATTGAATTCATGGAGATAGAGAGTAAAAGTAAAAAGAGAGTAATAGACAGTTACCATAGCCTGGGGTGGTTGGTGGGCAGGTGGGGATGGTTGATAGGTACAAAAAAATTAGAAAGAATTAATGAAATCTACTATTTGATAGCACAACAGGTTGACTATAGTTAGTAATAACTTAAATGTATATTTTGAAATAACTTAAAGAATGTAATTGGATTGTTCATAAATCAAAGGATAAATGCTTGAGGGGATGGATATCCCATTCTCTATGATGTGCTTATTTCACATTACATGCCTGCATCAAAACATTTCATGTACCCCATAAAGATACACACCTACAATGTACTTCCAAAATTTTTTTAATAATTAATTTTTTTTAAATATAGGTAAAAAAGAATAGAATTACCAATAGAATAATATGGGTAAATCCTAGCAATAATAATGATCATGGCTTTTGGAGATGTAAGGGACTGACTACTAAAGTGAATAATAATGGGTAGGGAGACATAAATACTACCATTGAAAGAGGTAAAATAGAACCACATTCTGAAATGTTTTGAATGAGAAAAATTCTTTGGTTGGACTATAGATACAATAAATCACTATAACCAGAAGTAGAATCAGAAAACTTGTTTGAAACTCCTATTTACTAATTCACCTTGCATTATCCTCCATTATTTGTTTGCTAACTTATCTTGACCAATTGATTTCCCTAGCTGTAATTGATGACAAGAAGAATTCCTAATACTAATGGTATGAAAGTATTCTGATAGCTTATTTTCCCCCCCTGGACTTTACAGAGGAAATAATGGAATGCTAGAAGTAGCAGAGTACGTGTTTTGTTTGTTTGTTTGTTTTGTTTTGTTTTTTGTTTGTTTTTTAACTCCTGAGACAACAACCTCTTTAATATACCATACCACTCCCAGTGTAGGAACTAGAATGACAAAATGACACAATGAATATTGCAGTAATGGAAGATTGATCTTGAAGCAGTGTTGATATGGGGACCGAGAAACTGTTTATATGTTGCTGAAGAGATGGGAAAATGGATCCCTCTAAAGGCAATCTACCTCTTGCATGAAGCCTTTCTTATTTCCTGCTGAAAATTCTCTCTCCTCTCTGACCTCCCACATTTATGCCTATCTTCTTATGGCATGTTTTCACTTCCTGTTTTTCATTATAGATATTTAAATGCATATATTTAATTATTTACTATCTTCTCTTTAGGTAAAAGACACTGGCTTGCTACATTAGATATGTTCCTTGCTTTAAGTGCTTCAAGGAACTTAGTAAAGGCTATAATGGAGTGCTTCATGCATACACTAATTAGTATGATTTAGTGTATACATGTTTATGCATTATAGCCCTTACTAAGCTCCTTGAAGCACTTGAAGCAAGGAACACATCTATTTTATGCTTTCACCATTTTGTGCAAATATCAATTGCATTAAATATATTTGTTGAATTATTAAGAGAAATGGAAAGCAAAGTAACAGGCTATGATAGGCATTTGGAACAGGAGCTTTAGAATTAGGCAGATCTGGGTTCAAATCCTGACTCTGTTCTTTTGTAGCTTTTTGACCTTGGAAAATTTAGCCTCTAAGAACCTTATTTTCTCCATGTGTAACATGGTAATAATAATGAGGATGATGATTGGTGATGATGGATAACAGTTGTGGAGTACTTAAATTTACTGGTCACTCTGCTAAGTCCATTTTATAGATATTCAATACATATCTATAATAATAATGTAATGCCTATGCAACCCTATTAGAAACATGCTGTTTGAACAAGAATACTGCCTTGATGGGTGGTTCGAAGAATCCAATGAGTAATGGGGGAAATGTCGACACACAGGAGACACTCAGTGGTACATAGTTATTATTTGGTTGCTCATGACAGACTGAGTCAGGATTATGATATCAGTGGAGAAGAAAAGGATAAATTTGTGCTACATTCAGAAAAGAATTAACAAAATCTGGTTAGTGGTTAGATATATGAGAAAATAAGTAGGATTTAGTGACAATGTAAAAAGACCCAGTTGCACATCCAACATTAAAATATTAATTTCACTTGGTCTCCATTAATGTTAAGGTATGCTGAGAATCATCAATTAATAAAACAACTTTCATACTGAACCTCTGGACAGCAAACAATTTTCAGGGTGCTTATGCACACCTGATGGCACAGCAACACATTTACTATTACTGGCAATCATCATAGTGGTTCAAAGTTGGAGTCCAGTGGTGCCTCTTTCTATCAACACATAAATTCAAATATCTATCAAATGTTGGCTAAAGAGCATTTGCCCTGTTGAAAACATTGAACACACTAAAATGATTTTGGCTTAGATCACTTGGAGATTAAAATATGGAAAAAATTATTTTCTAAACATTTATTAACCTACCTTTTTTTTTCCTCCCAATCAGCACTTGTATTTTAGACCATCACAGCAAGATGCCACATTATCAGATATGGTAAGAGACAGTCCACAGAGCCATTGTCAGGCCTGCACAGCTCCTGGCTGCCTGATTATTCCAAAACAGTCCTGAAATTAATTTCCTCATGAGAATGCTGTGCTCTCAAAGACCTAATTTCCATGTAACTAAAGCAAATTACATTCAATACTACCACCAAATTAAAATTTGTTGTGGAAAAAAGAAGTTTCAACTCTACTTTAGCTTACTCTTTTTGTTCTAAAGAAAAATGAATTTTTATCTTAAATCACTGACAAAATGAAGGTCATTCTCAGGAGATTTTACTGAGGTGAGTTTAGTAATAATATGAAGCTGAAATTCTGTAATGCTTAGTAGTAAAACTCCTTATAAGGTTCCTGGAAAAGAAGAAAGGAAATTTTCAAATGGAAAAAAAATATGGCTGAAAAACCCTTCTTTACTATTATTTCATTTTAAAATATATATTACAAAGTTAGTATTGTTTGAAATATTGGTTTCACTACCACTTAATAGTTTTGGAAATAGTTAAGGTGATATGAAGTACTATTAAACATGCTTTGAATAGAAAAAAAACAATAAAATAATAGTTTAAATAAATTTCAAAAAGTCAGAAAACAGTATAATTCAGGGTGTGGCCTAGATTAAAAGTGGTTCCTAGGCAATGAAGTTGCCACCATCCTAGTTGTAGAATTTATATCTCCCAATACAAATAGATTTAAAGGGTTTGTCAAACGTAAAAATGTGAATAATGATAGCTTTTGGCCTTTCCACAAAATGCTTTAACTTACTATTCTGTAGGTGATTTCACTATTTCTGACTATAAAGTGCTCTATCCTAATTAAAGGCCTTGATATTTATAATGCCTGCTTGGAAATAAAAAGTAGTATGAATTATAAATATGAGGTTTCACCTGTTTTTTATACTCAAGCTATTTGTTTTTAGGCTCATATATATGAAAACACAGTTACAAGAATTCTAATAAAAGTAAAATAGCATAGTGTATACAGAGAAAGCTAGAGTAACAGAATTGGAGTGCTCAGAGAATAAACTATGCTTGTGTTAAGCAGGTCTTGCTTTCCTTATATGTTTAGTGGATTTTTACCAATATTGCACCAGCATCTCATCTCCTCAGCAAGTGCCTCCCATTTGGAGTGTGTCCATTTTGCAATAGAATACGCAAAAAAAGAACCTCCTTTACTTCCCCATTGAGCAAACATTATTCATTCATTCTACTGGCATGAATTGAGGGTCTACTACAAACTAAATGCAACATTGGCCTTTGGAGCAGAAAACAGAAGAATAAAATACGGACCCAGACTAGAGCGATTTCTTTCTTCACAGTAACAGGACCAAATACTCGCAACAAATATGATCCATCATACACACCTAGCATCTTTAATTGTTAGGGTTTCAGAGGTGCTTTATTTTTGATGCAAAAGACTCCAAATAATACACAAAATAAACTGTAGACATCATATATAATATTTATCGGAGACACTAGAGGCAAGAAATCTACTAGAAGTTGATAGTTTGGGTTTAATGTTTCATTCATTTTTATATTAATGAAAGTGAGGATTAATATCAGCTTTTAGTCAACTTCTGAGCAAACATCTGAGAAACTAAAATATCACATTGTCGTGGAATATTCTCAAAAGAGGAATGATTCTGAAATTTTATATTCACTGCATCTGTCATCTGAAGCATTATATCTGTTGTAAAAAGCACAGTGAGTTTGTTGAAGTGCAGTTATTGTGTTTATTCTCTTTACAAAGTAATTGGAATGAGATTTCCTCTGGTGACTTTGCTTGGGATGTTAATGACACATTGTTTGTCTTTTGTGTAGAAATAAATGATAAACCATAAATGATTTGTATGCTTAGTTATACTTCTTGGTACAAAGAATCTTAAATGAACATGCAATCAAAGTTCCTTTTGTATCTACTGTAGATAAGATCAATTACTATATTTGGATATTTTCTAATGCAGAAATTTCCTAATTCTTTCTAATTTTTGTAGTTGTGTCATTACTTGGTATTAATATAGAGCAGCAGCAACTATTTCCAAATTAACTGTAAGCATCTTTAAGTGCTTGTTCAGATTGTCTCATAAGAATCTTTTTTGTTGTTGCTGTTTTGAGAAAAAAAAAAATAAGTGATGAGTCTTTATCTGTTGTCCCAGGGCAGAAATTCTCAAATCTTAGTCAAAGTAAGTGTGCCAAATAATCAACTGGTTCACTTATTGTAGGCCAGTAACAAAACCTGCCTTGTTATTTGAAACACTCTAGTTAATTCTGATTCAAGTAATTTTAAATTACATTTTGAGAAGTATTTCTGTTATAAAAACCTTAGAAAAGCAACAACAAAGCCAGAAAATTCTCTCCAGGGTTCCAAATGAGAACAAAGGGAGGCATTTTATTTAGATTACTTTATTTCAATTGTACAATGTTTCTTATTCCAAGGATTTATGCCATTTGCCTGAAAAATAAAAACAATTACTTGAATCACCTTAATAGTTTGGTATTTCTTTGTGTATAATAATGCTGCAAAACAACCACAGAACTTCAGTGGCACCCCACAATACTTACTTAATTCACCAGTATGTGAAGCTGATTTGGGCAAATAAGCACTATGCTCACATGCATTTGCCATTAGCTGTAGGTGAATGACATTCTTGGTTATGCTGATCTTGGCTGTACTTACAGTTCAATGGATCAGTTGGCTGTTGTGTAATTTAAATGGCCTCAGCAGGGACAATGGAGGCAATTTAGCTCTCTTCCATGTGTCTCTGTGTCTCTTATGCAGCAGATTACCTTGAGAATGTCTTCATGGCCATGGTAGAGGGCAAGAACAAGCAAGCCAAAATATGCAAGACTTCTTGGTGATTAGGCTTCTAACTAGCACACCATACTTTTGCCACATTTCATTGACCAAAACAAGCCACCAGATAAACTAGAATTGAAGTGTAGGGAAATAAATCCTTGCCTTTTAGAGAGAAGAGCTTTAAGTCATACGGTGAAGGTCCTGAATGCTGGGAGGGGTAAAGAATGAAATCCATTAATGTAATTGATTTACCACATACGTAATACAGATTGTTGGGTATATTACAGACTAGTCTCAATGAACATGTATTTTACAAATGTAGTATTTTCTTTCTAATTCTGAAAATAATCTCTACTCTGAGAAAAATTTTAAGTATATATTTAATGCATATGTATTATTATTCAAGTAGCTTATGCATGTGGTAAAAACAAACAATATCAAAGGATTTTAGATTAATAAAGGAATACACTTGCCACTCCAGAAACTCAGCCCTATGTCTCAAAATAGCCAATAGTCTTGGGATGTTCAACAAGAAATTCTCCATAGGAAAACAGGCATCTGTGCATACTTTAAAAAATAAATTAAAAAATTCATACAGTTTTCTATTTTGCTTTCTTCACATAAGATAACTCTTAGTATTCTTTTCTATATGTGTATGTTCCAATATTTTCCTCATTATTTTAAATGTTTGCTTGGTATTTTGTTAAATACATGTATCACAATTTTTAAAGAGTACTCTAGTAATTAGTATTAAAGTTAATTAATTTCAAATATTTTAGATAGAAAGTTTTGTATCATAAACAATGCCAAAAGCAGCATGCCTATTCATATATTTTGTACATGCATGTAATAGTTATTCTGTGGGATTAACTCCAACAAGTGAAATGGCTGGTGAAAATGGTGTGTGCATTTCTGATTTTTATAGATATTAAGAAAGTATCTTTTAAAATATAAGAATATTTATTTTTGTACATCTTCACCAATAGTATGAAACCCCACCAATATAACAGGCAAAAATGATTTCTTATTTTTCTTTTAATTTGCATTTTAATTTGAGAGTACTTAATGTACATACGTCCTAATACTAAACACAAGTTCAGATTAGCAGTCAAACTGACAAGGCAGAATAACTTTAATACTATGCTAGTTTAGCTTTTATAGATAGATCCTGGATGGAAAATACTAAATACACCACATTTTTATTTCAGTTAGAGATCCTGAAGCTTCCATACAAAGCCCCCATCTGCAGCCTCCTTAATAGAGCCCTAATAATAAAGCCCCTGTAGGCAACTCCCTTTTCCCCTCAAACCCAACTCCTCTTTACATGTGGGGTATTCATCTTTAGGAGATGGGATAAAAGTGGTTTGCCTTGACATAGAGAAATTGCATTCCTGAGTTTTCACCATGTTTTTATGTTATAATCATGCAAGCCCAAAACATCCATATGATATCATACCTTTTAAAATCTAGGTGGAATCCACAAATCAGTCATATAGGGCTGTTATTATTTCATATTTCATATTTATATTAGTTTAGAAGTTTCAAAGCGTATGAATCTTTGAATCATACTCAGAGAATATATGGCAGATGCAAAGTCACTGCTCCAGGTGGCTCTAGGTCTGTTCAGGCAAAAAGTTTAATTCTTTACTTAAACTTATGAGCTATTTCTTTGTGTTGTTGTTGATATCTCACCATTCAACCTGCGTTCATAAATTTGCCGCCTTTTTTCTTAAAATTTATAATTGTTTATTTATTAATTGGTAAAAGTTTGTTTTGTATTAGGAAATATATTCTTTGCTGTATGTTCTACAAATATTTTATGATTTGATTTTTGTAATTTGGATTCAGACATTTTTCCCATGCAAATATTTAAAACAATTTCCTTTATGTGTTTTCTTTATGGGTTTACTATATATTGCATACTTTAACCATCTACTTTTTGCATTTAAATATTTATCCATTTAAAAATTACTTTGGCATAAAATGTGGCACAATATTTAATAATTTTATTTTTGCAATTGGCTAGTCCATTATCCCAATATCATGTGAATATTTCCACACTGCCTGAAAATGGCACGTTTACCTACGTAACATATCTGCATAGCCTGCACATGTACCATAGAACTTAAAAGTTAAAGAAAATGAAAAAAAAGAAATAAGAGATCTAACAACAATAAAAAATGTCTTCTTTGTTACTTATCAAATTGTTAAGGCTTTTCTGACTATTAAATTTCACTGATTTGTCTTTCTCTTCCTACAGCTTTACCAAACTGTTCTAATTACTCTACTCCATTGTGTCTTAATATCCGCTAGGTCATTGCCTTCACATTATTCCTATTTCTGAAATTTTTACAGGTTATTTTGTGTTTATTTTTCCACATGTATTGAAATCAGTTTGTTACAATGCAAATAAAACTTATTATTATTAATTTTTTACCTTGCTCCAGTTACATTTATAGATTAGTTTGGGGGAAATAACATCTTTACAATATTGACACTAAGAATGTGGTTTTTTAAAAAATTTATTTTTTGACTTCTTTGCACCTCAAAACAGTTTTTAATGTGCAGATAGAGTTCTATACATTTTTGGTAAATCTGTTTTTAGCAGGTGTCATTTCTTCCAATGTATTTTTTCTTTTATCATATTTGAATATGGTCATGTTGGTAATATTTTATCACTGTTGGAATCAACTGCTGTACTGATACTGAAATCTCTTATCTTTACTAGCATTTTTGTTGTTTCTTAGAATTTCCAAGTATCTAATAATACTTAAAGATTCTACACATCATAGTATGTTTCTTTTTTTGATAACTTCCAATAATACTAAGTAATATTAAATGTACTTGTCTTTTTCTTGACTTTAATGGAAGTGCTATTTAAAATTATTAATTGTAATGCTATTTTATTAGTAAATGTTTTACAAAAGAATGAATGTCAATTTCTGTATATACATAGAAAATCAATCATTCCGTGTAGTTGCTGCATCTATTTTTGTAGAGATAAAGACAAGAGTCTCATATTGCTCTTGTTTTTTCTGAAATCTGTAATTATTTGCAAACACATTCTCTATTGTGTGTTTCTGCATTCTCTGTTTTTTTTTACAAATTATATTAGTTGGTAGTTTTTAATCTTATTTGGATTCCTTTTTAAAGAATCTGCTCTTTGATTTGTATTTTACTTTTTCTTTTGTTTTCTAAATCATTAATTTCTACTTTTACTTTGTGAGTTACACTTTTCTAGCCACCTTAGGTATATTTATTTTTGTTCCTTTTCTTGTTTCGTTTTTTGGTACCTAATTAGCTTTTTTGCATTCTTTAGCTTCTGAACATTTAAGTGTTTGTTTCTTTTGCTGATATATAGAGTATTCTTAAAACTCTTTTTCTAATTGTTCTGTAGTTTCTATTTTGACTCTTATTAACGAGGAATTGTTTAAAGGATAATTATTAAATTTTTATAGAGTTTGAAACTGAACTTCATTTAGAGAATATGATATATATTCTAAAGTTTAGAATATTTTAAAATTTTCTTTGTGTATTTTCTTGTATTAGGTATGAGATTTGATATGGATCATGTCTTTTCATCTTTGCCACTATTGACATTTTAGGCCAGATAATTCTTTACTCGAAGTTGAGGGTAGTGGCTGTCCTGTGCATTGTAGGATATTTACAAGCAAACATGGTCTATAGTCACTAGATGTCAGAACCTGATATTTAAGTTGAATAGTGTTAATATTGGATACTCTGTTTTATTTTCTGCTCCATATATTTGCCAGTTTGCTTATTTCATACTTCCAGGTTACATAGATACATTTTTTTTGTATATACAATATATTTGTCTCTTTTAACACTCAAATTTGACAATTCTTTTTTTAGTATGTTACTTATAGCAATTTGAAGTTATCATGAAGGATCTTTTTAGCATGATAAAGATGTTCTATGTCTCAGTAGAAATTTAGATTACATGGGCATATGTACTTTTCAAAATTCACAGGACTGTTTACTAAATATATTTGCATTCCTGCATGTAAATTACTGCACGCAAAAAAAGTCAGTATAATACGTACAATTTTTGACTGGTCAAAGTCCTTTAGTGTTCAACATATTAGGAAACAGATGATAAGTATTGGGATACTGAACACAAATTGCATTTCCACAGGCTCTTATACTCTCATTTTTGCTGTATAGGAAAGAGCGAGTATTTTAGCTTACAGAAAAACATGGCTTTGGTTTAGGTTTAAAATTTTAAATTCCTGTCTGCTTTTCTGTAACAGTTGTTTTCAAGGTAGTCATTTTCCTTAATACTCAATTGCATGGGCCTGTGTTAATAAGCCTTCTCTTGTTAATATAAATCCCAAATTTATATTTAATAAAATTATTGAACCAGAATATTTCTGATAGAAAAGTTATTATCGTCATAGAAACATTTGAAAGTAAAGTAAAATAAAATGTGCTAAAACAAAAGAACAATCATTTCTTTTAATAAAAACACCAATAGCAGGTTATTAAGGTGGCAGACTTAATAAGGAAGAAAAAAGAATAGTATAATTGGCTATAATCTTAAAACAATTTTGAAAGCATTTAATTAATTTTTTTTGAAAAAGGTGTTGCATTAGAGATATCTGCAATCCCTTTTTCTGTCTTTTTAATTTTTTTAAAAATATCATCTCTATACTTTTGACTGTACTGGGTTGTTAAAATATTTAAAAGCCAAACCTAATAAATGGAACAATTAAAATAGTAGAGTAGAACAATTCAACCCACCAGAATGTTGACAGTTAAGACTGTAACGTATTGTCTGTATAAAATCCCTTCTGATTGAAGTTTAGAATTTTCATGTCGTTAATTACACAGTTTCTTATGCATTTCTTTTAGGCGTGTGCTTAGTGTAAACATCATAACAAGATACAATATTTTTCTCTCTTGAAATATATTAATACCTTTAGGAGACCAATGAATAAATTTTAATTAAGGAGAAGTATTGTAAAACAGAACAGAATAGATTATACTTGAAGCATTTGGTATTTTTGGTGTATAATTTATTGAATGGGCTGTAATAATTTAGAATATTTCTGCCCGTGGTTTTTTATGATATTTGTCTCTTATAAACTTTACCTGAATACACTATTTGTCTCTTGTAAATGTTATCAGAAATAATTTTCAAATTATTAACAGGAGATGATGACAATACAGAAAGAAAAAATGTGGATAAATAAGCTGGATATTTCCATTGCAGGGTTCTTGGATTTCTTAAAATTATGTATTACAATAAAAAATAGCAAACACTTGGTAGTATTTGGAAATGAGCTCTTTAAATAGGTTAATCATTATGCCTTTTGTAGGTACATACTTAGAGATTTGCACAAAACTGGAATCTCTTTTATGAATAACTATTGTTGCTATTTGGTCTTGTGCAAGGAAAAAATGTTCTCTCTAAAACATATAGAATATTAGAATTGAAGGCATTTTATTTTTTCTTTATATTTAAAAATATTCACTTTAAAAAATTCATTTGCACTGTTTCAGTAGTAAATTGTTGAAGTATGTTAAGCTGTAATTAAGTGGTATTTGTTGCTGAAAAGTGCTATGTGGGAGGCAAACATTCCTAAAAATTAAACTGTACAGAAAAAAAAAATCATATAGTTTATCTTGCCAAGGTGGAGGATCCGGTGCTGCTTTCTATTACAATGCATTGATGCATTAACCCAAATGATGAAGGTCCACAAATAGATATCCTAGAGAGCTTGGTATTCATAGTTGGGTTTTGGTTGGGTAGACTATCCTAGTAATAAAATCAGATATATTATTGATGTCTAAGAAGTGGTTAAAGAGCATAAAAATGTTCTGATTTGATAATTTTATTAAATAAAAAGTTTAGGTGGCTGCTCACGAGAAGTTAGTAATATAGGACTATGTAAACAAAATGACTACTTTGAAGTTCAGGTGGAGTTATTATTAATTGAGTTAGGAAGGTTTCTGGATGTATTGTTCATGCTTAGCCTCAAAATTTCTCCTCCTTTTTAAAGAATCAGCTTGGGGCGGCCGGGCGCGGTGGCTCACGCCTGTAATCCCAGCACTTTGGGAGGCGGAGGCAGGCGAATCATGAGGTCAGGAGATCGAGACCATCCTGGCGAACACGGTGAAACCCCATCTCTATTAAATATACAAAAAAAAAAAAAAAAATTAGCCAGGCATGGTGGCGGGCACCTGTAGTCCCAGCTACACGGGAGGCAGAGGCAGGAGAATGGCATGAACCTGGGAGGCGGAGCTTGCAGTGAGCCGAGATCACGCCACTGCACTCCAGCCTGGGCGACATAGTGAGACTCCGTCTCAAAAAAAAAAAAAAAAAAAAGAATCAGCTTGTGGCAGAAAAACTTTTAGAAACATGAAAGCCAAATATCAATGATATTGATGAGAGGTGGAGAGATCAGAACAAAAGAAGAAGCCATTTTTACTTTATACCTCCTATTTTTCTTTTCATTTCTTTTTTTTTTCTTTTTCTTTTTTTTTTTTTTTGAGACGTAGTCTCGCTGTGTCCCCCAGGCTGGAGTGCAGTGCCGTCACCTCGGTTCACTGCAACCTCTGCCTCCCAGGTTCAAGCAATTCTCCTGCCTCAGCCTCCCGAGTAGCTGGAACTACAGGCGCCCCCCACCACGCCTGGCTAATTTTTTGTATTTTTAGTAGAGACGGGGTTTCACCGTGTTAGCAAGGATGGTCCGGATCTCCTGACCTCGTGATCCACCCGCCTTGGCCTCCCAAAGTGTTGGGATTACAGGCGTGAGCCACTGCGCCCAGACCCCTACACCTATTTTTCTGATAGTCACTCAGATTAAGTGGCTTTCTTGTACTATTTGCAACTAAAAACCTGGTGAAAAAAAAATGTATCATAGAGAAATTATTTTAAGATTATCTTTTTTAGGTATCTATCTCTTTGATATCAGTACAGGCTTTTGGTAGGGAAAAAAATCATGCATACAGTGAACAACTCAGGTCTACACAGTGTCTGCCAAAGTGTACTCCATGAATGTTTCTTTATCTTATGCACTTGTGTTTGCATGCAGAAAAGAAAAAAAAAAGACTCCCTACCTCTCTTTTTAGAACAGACATTGGTGGCATTTGGTGTGACGTCTGTTGTGTATCATCCTTCTTTCAGCTGCCTAAAATAGTGTGATCATAATTATGCTTAACACCCTCTTTCCTGTTCTCAACCTTTCCCCTCCAACCCCATACACATAAACTCACAGGCAAATAATCATTTGGCTTCTAAGTACTATTTCTATGATTCCAGACTCCCTTTCACCCAATCCCTTCTCTGCTTCTCCACAACCGCTGGCATAGGTCAATACTTCCCATTTTTCAGCATCACTCTCCACCTCTCACCTGGAACACTATAATAGCTTCTTAGCCAGTCTCTCTGCCTTCAGAGTCTCTTATACTCCAATCCGTCATTCACAGAGAAAGCAGCATCATAATTTTAAAAACAGATTTAGTAGTATACCTGCCATGCTAAAAATAAAAGAAAAACAAAATATTTATGGTTCCCTGTTGCTTGCTAGACAAAGTCCAAATGGTGATACAAAATTTTATTAACATTTATGTTAAAATTCTTAATCTCCATGGGTTACTCATAGATACCTAAAATATATTAGTTGACTCATTTTATAGTAAAATAATAGACATCTATTTTAAAAACTATTAACCTATTTATAATTCCTCTTACTATAGCATTATATTCGATAAAGAAATGTTATTTCTCTTCATTATAGTGATTTTTGCTATGTTCATATGATCTAAAATATGAGTGGAAGGATTAATGATATGTCAGGTCTCCCTTAAATCTATTCTCAACAGCAACACAAACTGCAAAACAAATCTACGCTATTTAAGTGAAAATACATCAATCACAGAAATGAGCAGACTGCAGGTCCAAGTCAATCCCTTCCAGCCCATTAAACAGAGGGAAGGAAAGCAAGTCTGCTTACATTCAATATGCCAGAGAGCAGGGATGAAGTGCAATAATGCAGGTTTGTGACTACAGCTTGCCAATAGTAACTTGGAAAATTATCAATCATTAATCCATCACAGTCCTAATTATTACTGAACTGCTGCATTAACAGGAAAGGAAATTTAATGAAATAGGTTAAAGAGCTTTGGTTTTAAAAATAAAATCTTATTAGATTACATCTAAGGACACGTCCTAATACTAATGAATGTAGACATTTAAAAGGAATCCTGTGGTAGAGTATGAAAGATATTATGTCCATAGAAGAAATTAAGCATTCTAAGATCTACTCATTCCCTAAAAACAGATCCCTTGTTATTCTAATGTTTACTCATCCTAAAGGCAATGTAGGAAATTCCATAGCATTTTTCTATTATTGGTTAAGTCATATATGCTCAGCCTGCTTTCCTTAATAATGTAAGAACCAATGACAGGGTAAACCACATTCTCGTAATAGCCTAAGGTAGTGTTTGGCATTAACAACAATCAGAAGTTTAGTTGAAGAATCTGGATGATATAATAAACTCTGAGAGTAAAGCCCGAGGAGTTTAAACAGAAAGCCAGGCTGTTTAGTTGCAAATGCCTGTAATATTAAACCTGGTCCATCTGTCATTTTCATCCTTCCTTTTTTCTGGGTAGATATGTGGATTATGTTCTGGTTTACTCCTTGAATCATGCCTAGGAATATGTACAGAGTCAAAGATTCATGAGGATGCTATAGCATTTAATTTTATAATATGCTTCATACATCTATAACAATTTATATTTATTTTTTATTTAAATAACTACAAAATCCTTGCTGTGCATTTTATATTCTGAACGTGTCAAATAATTGATATGTAAAGAATAGAACCAGCTAATTAAGATTGTCTTTATACTATATGTTTTTAATAATAGTGATTCTTTCTAATTTTCTTTTGCAAATTATGAATGTTTCATAAACATTTTTATTGCTATTGTTTTCATAATGGTAGCATTTCAGTAGAAGGAGAGAAGACTTCATTTGTTTTTCCTGATTAGAGAATGAAATAAGAAGATTAGAAAATAAAAGCAGGACGGAAAAAAAAAGCTGTTCTTCAAGTCAATAACATCCACCATTAGTACAATATGTAAATGCTTGAAAGTCATGTTTAAAGTTGAAAGCATAGTAAAATAATAGCCACTAGCTTATTCACCTAGATGTGCCTCCCAGGTGATGGTACCTATGGTGGGATATTATATTTGATAATTCATCTAGAGTATAGTCATCCATTAACCTCTGGAGAAGGAGAGGTCCATGGCAAGCCCAAGACACACCTTATGCAATATCTCCATTACTTTTAGTGGTAAGACACTGTAATGCAATGAATGCAAATGTGCCCTGAAGTACTTCTGGCGATTTTTGCAGAAAGACATATTTGGAATATTCAAAGACTCTTGAGTTAATTAAATTTAAAAGATTATAATAAACGAGGTGGTAGCAAAACTGCATTTGGCTGTCTATAGAGAGCATTTCCTATGTTAACTATCAAAGGATTGTAATACTTCTGTAATATTTCCCTTTCAGTCAAATGATCTAGGACTATGCCATATATCCAGAGACTAGAGTTTAGAAAACGTGTGTCACTTTTATATATATATATATATTTTTTTTTTATTATACTTTAAGTTCTAGGGTACATGTGCACAATGTGCAGGTTTGTTACATATGTATACATGTACCATGTTGGTGTGCTTAACCCATTAACTCGTCATTTACATTAGGTATATCTCCTAATGCTATCCCTTCCTCCTCCCCCCACCCCACAACAGGCCCTGGTGTGTGATGTTCCCCTTCCTGTGTCCAAGTGTCCTCATTGTTCAATTCCCACCTATAGTTACCGTATTACATTATCCCATTTATTTTAAGCTCTCTCAAAGAGTCAGTGCAAACAAACTCTATCTCTTATATTTAATTATGTAAATCTTTGGTTTCCTTTTTCTTTTTAGTATATAACTGTAGTGTACTGTATTGTTAAAGCAATATATTTGTTTATATGATGAGTATGAACCTGACAGTGTGCTGTACTTGTGCTAAAATTGTCTTTTTAGTTGTTTTAAAGCTGAGTAAAGGGGCAAACCCAAGGTTAAGTCAAAGCATTCACTACATTCAGTTATAAAAATGGGCTTGGAGGAGGCATTTTAAAAATAAGTAGGCTAGGCACAGTGGCTCACGCCTGTAATCCCAGCACTTTGGGAGGCCGTGGTGGGCGGATCACCTGAGGTCAGGAGTTTGAGACCAGCCTGGCCAACATGGTGAAACCCCGTCTCTACTAAAGATACAAAAATTAGCTGGACATGGTGGCAGGCACCTGTAATCCCAGCTACTCAGGAGGCTGAGGCAGGAGAATCGCTTGAACCTGGGAGGCGGAGGTTTCAGTGAGCCGAGATCGCACCATTGCACTCCAACCCAGGGGAAAAGAGCGAGACTTCATTTCAAAAAAAAATAAAAATAAAAATCAGTAAATACACTCTTTCTAGAGTAGGGGAAAATAATGGTTAGCAAGAAAACTACACTTTCCAACCATCAAGTGATTTATTTACACTTTACTAAAATATTTTGCCAGATCCTTCAGATTTTGTGTTTAAATAAACAAGGCTCATTATGAATATATCTACATGCTGTTCTTTCATTCATTCTTGGCTTAGTGTGTTGTGTACATTCTTTTTATAAACATTGTCATCAGTTCTTCATTTTAATTTTTTAAATTATGCTTCCAGGTGGTTTTTAAAGTAAAATTATTCTACAAGCTTATAAAGAGATAGATTCATTCACTGCTCCCCTCCCTTCCTCTGCAGTTCTATGCAACATGGGCTGTTACCTCTTTTAGCCATTTTAGTTACTTTTTCCCCTAGTAGTTGCTTACATATTCCAAATAAGAATTATATATTGTGTTTTTAAATTTTTCAGTTCTGCACTTATTACTGCATTTTTACTATAAAAAATAAGATTTAGTTCAATGAAGATTTTACCACTTGTAGACTTTCACTTACTTGCAGTTTTCAGCAGAAACTTTCTACCTTCAGTAAACTTTGTGTTTCAGATCTAGGGCTCCTAAGGTGCCACCCCTACAACAGCCAACTACCACACCTCTGTCATGGTGAGGAAGAGGCTCTGAGCATTGAACTGCTTATCAGGCAGGTTTTTCCCTTTCCTGCCCGACTTGAAACCTTACTTCAGTGGGGGTAATTTCTGAGCCCTTTTAAGGGCTTCTGGTGGCAGTCAGCTTAACTCCGTGGCTCTAGCCCCTCTAGACTTCAGTTTCAGCTTTCTTCATGCTGCTGAATCAGGCGTCATTTGTACACAGGTTTTCCAGCTTCCAAAATATTGTCACTGCCAGCTCTTTTCCTAGTCTCTTTGTTCCTGGTGGAATTATGCCATCTCTTTTATACTCTACTTACCTGTGTAAGATTCCAGAGGAGAACATAGGTATACAAGTGTTCATTCTACCACATTTGTGTCATTTTTTTCCTTTCTGCTCTAAACACATTAGAAATACTTAATCCAAATGTAGTATTATCACCAAAAAAGGTTTATATGAAATAGCTCAAATTTTTATGACCTCTTCTGCTTGTACTTATTTTAAATCAATTATCTTTATTTCAATAATTTATATATCCCCATACCACTAGCTCTTTCTCACTCATGTAATAGCTACTCTTACATATGCTCAATAATAACACTGAAATTTACTAACAGCATAAAGAAATTCTCATTTGAGGTTTTCAAATGGCTAGACAAATGTCGACTAATTAGTTCTCCCTTTATCACTGGGGAATAGTTGGTGTGAGGCTACCTTATCTTTAAATTTACAGATAGATTATCTGAGCTATGAGGCACTGTGAAATTTCTTAGGTAACCCACAACACAGTTACAGGAATAGAATCAAGTATTTCTGAACCTCTATTGTTTTACTATAACTATTAGGTACCACTGAGTTCTTTATAGTCAAATTCAGCTAATACAATGAAATATTTTCTAATAGAATCAATCTTTATTGTTTCCCAAAAGCATTTGAGAAAAAATATGAAATATATATTGCAATCATATCCTATAGATAGCACCAAAAATTCACTTGGAGAAATATATCCATCTGGTATTTTTTGCTTCATCAATATTTGTCAAAGATTCAAACTAATGTAGGCCTCTCTTGAGCAAAATGGGCACTTGGTTCCTGAAGATGTGAAAACCTATATGCATGCTGTCTTTCCACTCAACCGTATAATGCAGCACTTTGCCATCTCCATTAAAAGACCGACTTTGCACCATACTATGCATTTTATAATTTTTCTATCTAAATGCAGATTTCTACATTCCATGTGTACCATGTAGTCAGGTTTTCCATAAAAATACCAGCAGGAGAGTACATTGAAATTCATTTTGCGTATTAAAGAAATCTCTCTCTGAGATTCCCTCTTTTATTTGTTTTATTAACTCAAGCAATAAACAAGAAAATTATAGAGTTTCAGCAATGATGGAAAAGCTATTTATGATTTTATCAGCCTTGCTGCTTTTTTCCCCTGCTTAGACAATTTACAGATTCTTAACAGCAAGTCAGCTTAAAATGTTCCCACTGGAAAATGAAATAAGTCTATCTGTATCATTTCACCCAACTACTGTAGTACTGTATTACCCAGCGACAGCTTCACTTTGAGTAACATGCCCCCTGAATGCTTATCTTCCCAGTATCTACAGCACACATAAAATATGTCCCATAGGGATATGTTCCACTTGAAAACATTATTACAAATCCCATAATATTTTCCAGCATATATTTTACTGGCATGGCTGGGTCAGGAATGCAGTCAGAGCCTAACAAACAGAAAATATGTCTCTTCACACTTGTGAAATTTTTAACAGAGAAAGCACATATGAAAATGACTGTCACTGGAATTACGGCAAATTTCCAGCTAGCTTATTATATGCAGTTTACTGAAGCTTTCCACATGCCCACAGGCAATTCGGTATGCAAGGAATAAACATAGCACGTGACCAAAAATGCACATGAAATTAAAGAAGCAGTACTTCTAACTCTGTAAGTACACTGATGTTAAAAAACTATGCTTCCTATATTTATTTTCTAAAATTCACATTACTTTTAAGATATTATATTATAAAAAGAAACCAGGGTAGGTGATACATTCATAGATTCACATACAAATGAGAGCTTATAGATAAAGCCCCTTATCTGATAAATGGCAGTGACTTAGAATCTTGAAACAATTTGAATAAATTTATCCCCATTCAGTTTGGTGAATATCTACACTGGAATTACTGTGATGAGCTGAAAATATTATTTTATAAGCATGTTATTTTGCATTTGTATAGATAGCTTACATCTATAGCAAAAAAAAAAATGGTTTTCCAGTTTATTTTTAATTGTTCAGACAGAGATTTTACAACTTTTAAGACCAAGTTTTTAAAAAAGTATTTAAATGCCTACAAATGCATATTCTTTTTCATTTTAAATTAACAGTTTTTAGCCTTTTCTAAATTCACTATCTCTGCAACAATGAGAACCTGTTTGGGAGAGAAACTAAATACTAACTTTTTTTTGTATATCTCCAAGGGCCAAATTCATATCATAATAAAATATATAGATCTACAACATTGTTATTTTCACACATTCAACAAATATTTTTATTACATTTTCAATAAGAGAAAACATGGCATATGTTTCACTTTTATGCATTAATTTTTTAAAGTTGAAATTAAATTGAGAAAACTTTAGGTATTTCTGATTTTTAATAAGCATTACTGTGGCAATTCCAATTCAGTCAGGATGGATGCCATTCGGAGTTGAAGGATCCATCTTGCTTCTCTGTGACTCTGTCATGGCCCAGGTACAGAGCCATACCAAGCTGTCAGTGATCTGGAAAATGGCATGTGAGGCAATATTTGACAGCATATATTCTCTTCTTAGTGGTAGAATGAACCTTCTAATTACTGTACATATCAGCTATTACTAGAATATAATTTATGTTTTTCAGCACATCACCTAGAAAACTGCTTGCCTGTGTTCACTCTAATCTATATATCTTTCTCAGCAGAAGCCCAATAACTAAAACACATTTGCCCTGCCTCTTTAATCATTGTATTTTAATATTTTATTCTGTTCAGCTGGCAAAAACAAAGGCAAAAGAGCTCAATGTGGCTTTCTGTGGTAAAACAAGAAAAGGCACTGTTATGGTGGGAAGAGTCACGTGTGTCATAGACTTTTGAAAGGATTTGGCATGGAAATCTGTAGAAAAGGAATGATTTTCACAAGTTTTCGAGGAAGAAGTTGGGAATACTAAATTGAAAGAGAACTTACTGCAAGGCCAAAAAGACAACTATTGCTGGCAGCTTTAAAATGAAACAAAACACCTCACTTCCAACAGAAGGTTGCAGATTGTCCCTGGTGAGACAAAGAATTAAATACTTGTCACAGGTGATCTATAGCTGACATTCTGAATGATATGGCAGAGTAAGGTTACAGACCTCTCTGGTAGCTCTTTTCTCCCAGTTAAGCAATGAAAAGCCAAGGACAAAGCTTCAATTCCGTGGTTCTTTTCCCCTTTTAACTACCATTTCTAGTTTATCCATGGGAATACATCTGAAAGAAAAAAAAAAAGTTTAACTGAGTTATTCAAAGAGTATAATGATGTCCTAGTTTATAATCAAAATACTCAATTGCTAGAAATTCTGATACTATGGTATTATTAACCCAGTTGTTAGGTATTGTGATTTTTAGTTTTCGGTCTCTAAGAGCAGGCATTCATCAGAAGAATGTAATATAGAGTAAATACAATTTTATTGAATACCACTAGCTGACCCCCCACCCACTTTAGATGGACAGAAATTTAATTCAGGACAGCCCTTGACCCCTGCATTCAATAGTGACTGTCTGAATTTGTATGATCAAGGAAAAGAATAATCTGTTGATGTGTAGTCCTTTCATTTCTACCTTTTCAATTTTTTAATTTCTGACCCTTTACTGGTGAAGAAAGATGTTTTGACTCAAGTCCCTGAGCTATGATTTGGATTGCTAAATTGTTGGGAATGTCTGTGATTGCAAAATTGCACAATTATTTTGTCCCTCTTTCAGTATGTAGAGCTACTTAGGCCCACAGCAGAATCTCGGGTCATATTTCTACTGAGGCATTTCTACATATTTTTTCATAGACTAGTATGTGGTTTTTAATTGATAGAGTTAGCAAATGTTGAGTAACAAATGGTTCACATATTTCTTAGGCCATTGTTCTATAAGATCTACATGTTCAGCCAAACTTAATGCAATTTAGTTTTTCATCATAAAAATGACCATGTTGTACCTAAGATTCAGAAATTCTGGGTGGAAACTTCAGATAACTATAGACATAGTCAATTGCAACTTGACACTTTGCTTGTGTATAGCCAAGAAATTATGTGTGAAGAGACATTAAAAATATTCAAATTGTTGTGGGAAGTCAGGGACCCCAAACGGAGGGACCGGCTGAAGCCATGGCAGAAGAATGTGGATTGTGAAGATTTCATGGACAGTTATTAGTTCCCCAAATTAATACTTTTATAATTTCTTATACCTGTCTATACTGCAATCTCTAAACATAAATTGTAAAGATTTCATGGACATTTATTAGTTCCCCAAATTAATACTTTTATAATTTCTTATGCCTGTCTTTACTGCAATCTCTAAACATAAATTGTAAAGATTTCATGGACACTTATCACTTCCCCAATTAATACCCTTGTGATTTTCTATGCCTGTCTTCACTTTAATCTCTTAATCCTGTCAGCTGAGGAGGATGTATATCGCTTCAGGACCCTGTAATAATTGCATTAACTGCACAAATTGTACAGCATGTGTGTTTGAGCAATATGAAATCTGGGCACCTTGAAAAAAGAACAGGATAACAGCAATGTTTAGGAAACAGAGATAACCTTAAACTCTGACCTCCGGTGAGCCGGGCGGAACAGAGCCATATTTCTCTTCTTTCAAAAGCAAATGGGAGAAATATCGCTGAATTCTTTTTCTCAGCAAGGAACATCCCTGAGAAAGAGAATGTGCGCCTGCGGGTAGGCCTATGAACAGCCCCTCTGGGCGTGGCCGTCTCTTATGGTCGAGGCTGCACGGGTGAAATAGACCCCAGTCTCCCATAGCACTCCCAGGCTTATTAGGAAGAGGAAATTCCCACCTAATAAATTTTGGTCAGACCGGTTGATCTCAAAACTCTGTCTCCTGATAAGATGTTATCAATGACAATGGTGCCCAAAACTTCATTAGCAATTTTAATTTCGCTTCGGTCCTGTCGTCCTGTGATCTCGCCCTGCCTCCACTTGCCTTGTGATATTCTATTACCTTGTAAAGTACTTGATGTCTGTGACCCACACCTATTTGCACACTCCCTCCCCTTTTGAAAATCCCTAATAAAAACTTGCTGGTTTTTGTGGCTTGTGGGGCATCATGGAACTTACCGACATGTGATGTCTTCCCCGGATGCCCAGCTTTAAATTTCTCTCTTTTGTACTCTGTCCCTTTATTTCTCAAGCTGGCCGACACTTAAGGAAAATAGAAAAGAACCTATGTGAATATCGGGGGAGATTCCCCGATACAAATATATATGTATATGAAGCAATAAATACATGTACATGTGACTGGTTTATACATATACATTATATGCAAGTATTTGTACACATACATATAGTGTTGTAAATGATTATCAATCCTCTTAGCATTTCACTGTAAATACTGTTTTCCAATCATTAACGTGAGTCCTTTGATCCTTCTAGGATTTCTGCACCCCTCTCCAATTCATAGCCCAAAAGAAGCAATGATGAGATGGAAATGTTCTAGATTACACTCCCTACATTTAAGCATATGAACCCTATTTTTAGCCCAGTTAAGGATATAGCTTTATATTACAAAAGCAAATGTGACCATGTGTAATTTACAGAGCAACAGATTTTCTATTGAGGTTCTCCTCCAATGACATTCTAAGTTACTTTTTTCATTCTGAGTAAGCTTGATTACCAACTAACTGTCCCCAGCCCTCCAGCCTTAACTTGTCTTAAGTCACTTGAAGTTAGTGTACTCTCCTCCAAGTCTGTGCACAAATGTTATTTCTTCAGTGGGACATACTCTAAACACCCTAACTAAAATTCAAACCCACCCCACTTTTCAATAGCACTAGCATCTTCTAGAAGAGCATAAGATCTTTATTTATGATGTTTACCATTTGTTGTCTGTCTTCCCACATTAAAATATGGGGACATTAATACAGAAATACTCACTGCAATTGTCCTGGAGAAAAGATTGAATGGAAAGTACTCAATAGAAGAAAAATAGATGCACCTGCCAAAGCTGGTCTTGTGTTTCCTTCTCTGTGTCTCAGATTGCTGTTTTTTTTCTTCCAAAAAGAATTGATTTCTAAGGTAAGTTTAGAGTAATAACCTGGCCTCAGTGTTCTTCTTCTTCTCCTCTTTCTTCTTTTTGTTCTGCCCCTTTCCTTCTTTTTTTTTTTTTTTTTTTTTTTGCCTCTCTACTTTTATATACACTTTTCTTCATTTTCTTCTCTTCTCTTTTTAAAAATAATGACTCGGCCAGGCACGATGGCTCATGGTTGTAATCCCAGCACTTTGGGAGGCCGAGGTGGGTGGATCACGCGAGGTTAGAAGTTCAAGACCAGCCTGGCCAATATGGTGAAACGCCGTCTCTACTAAAAATACAAAAAATTAGCCAGGTGTGGTGGCAGATGGTTGTAATCCCAGCTACTAGGGAGGCTGAGGCAGAAGAATCACTTGAACCCGGGAGGCAGAGGGTGCAGTGAGCTGAGATCATGCCAGTGCACTCCAGCCTGGGCAACAAGGAGAGACTCTGTCTCAAAACAATAATAATAATAATAATGACTCCTTTTAAAAAAATTCCGTATATAAAAATAAATTCAGAGCACAACATCAGAGTTCAGAAGACACAATTAGCTGAAATCTCACTATGTATACAGTTTTATCAATATCATTTTTTCTCTATCACGTACGCGCAAACACATACACATACAAATTCACGCATTCTTTCACATACATGAAAGCACACCACAGATATTTATTCATTCAAATGTAATTATACTAAATGAACTGATTTGTGGAGTTTTCTCCTTCACAATATATTTTGTGCATCTTTCTATATCAATCACTTTAAATACACATCAACATTTTGACGTTAGCATAGTGAATGAATTCAGAATATTTAGCCTATTGCCTTCTTTTTTACTGTGGTAAAATGGATGTAACAGAAGTTTCCATTTTAACTATTTTTAAGTGTCCAGTTCAGTGGCATTAATTACATTCATAGTGTTATACAAACATCAGCACTATCTAGTTCTAGAACTTTTTAATCACCCTAGACAGAAAGCTGTACTCAATAAACAATCCATTCTCATTCTCCCCTTCCTCCAGTGCCTGGTAACCTCTAATTTTCTATCTGTCTCTATGAATTTCTCAGTTCTAGATAATGCATAAAGTGGAATCATACAATGCTTGTTCTTTCGTGTCTATCCTATTGCACTAGCATAATTTTTTCAAGATTCATACATTTTGTATCATATATAAAAACTTTATTCCTTTTTATGGCTGAGTAATAGTCCACTGTATGCACATACCACATTTTGTTTATCCATTCATCTGTTGATGGACCCTTGGGTTGTTTCTACCTTTGTGCTATTCTGCATAACACTGCTATGAACATTGGTTTACCAGGGTCTGTTGAGTCCTTGTCCTCAATTTTTTGGGGAGGTATATATCTAAGAGTGAAATTGCTGGGTAACATGATAATTCCATGTTTAACTTTCTAGAAACTGTTTTCACAATGGCTGCAACATTTTACATCCCCACCAGCAATACACAAGGGTTCCAATGTCTCCACATCTTCATCAACACTACTTATTTCTCTTATTTAAAAAAAATTATAGCCTTCTTTGTTGGTATAAAATGGTATCTTATTGTGGCTTTGATTTGCATTTCCATAAAGACTAAGGGTGCCAAGCATCTTTTTCTGTGCTTATTGGCCATTTGAATTTCTTTGGAGAAATGTCTACTCAAGTCCTTTGCTCACTTTTGATTTGGGTTGCTTGTCTTTTTGGTTTTGAGTTCTAAGAATTCTTTTTTATATTCTTGATTGAAACCCTTATTAGATACATTTTCTTCCCAACTGGGGTAGTCTTTTGACGCTCTTAATAGTGTCTTTTGATGAACAAAAAGTTTTTCTCACTGACTACTAAAGGATATTTAGATGGTGTCAATTTTTTTCAGTATTATTAGCAATCTTGCAATAAACATTCATATGCTTGCATCTATGCATGCTTTTCTGAATTATGCCTTTCAGAAGTAAAATTGATGGATGAGGTCTACCCACTCTTAAAACTTTTGACAAATATTAACTAATTCCCTCTATTCAGGTTGCCAACTATCACTGCATAAAAATATATATTCCCCCCACATTGCCAAACACATTATTACTCTTTTTCATCATTTCATGTAATAAAATAGCTTTTTAATGACTTTATGTTGTTAGAAGGTGAATTGCAAAGTGTGTTTGGGAGTGAAGAAATTTTTGGGAATACATTTTCTAAATAAATTGATATTTAAATGTAATAGTTAAACTTGTTAATAAAGGAAACCCAGAGAAATCATTGAATAAAAAATTTTAAATAAATAATATTTTATTATTAAACCAATAATCACTAATAAAGTTAATAATCATTTCCTAATCAATCTACTGTTCAAATACAAATTTTCACCTCCTAATTGCACAAATGAAGGTATAGCTAATAAGTAATTCCTGTGTATAGGAGAAATGTGTTATCATATGAAAATATTTACTACTTGTATGCTAATAAATAGTCTCATTTCACAATTTTTGTTTTTCAGACATTCTAAAGTGTCATGTGGAATTACTAAAGCAAATAATTAACACTGTAAGATATAATTCTTGTAATGAAGTAAATGAGTCATTTAAAATCCTATAGTTGCCAGAAGAAAATATTTAGAAAAATAAAATAACTGAAAATATTCAGAGATAAACTGTCAATGCTTCTTGCATATAAAATATGTAGTTTGTTTAATTTATACAAACACAACAGTTCATCTTTATGAAAACTGGAAAAAGGAGATTTAGCCATTATCACTCATTATGTTAAGTGGTGATGAAGGAATTCTATAGCCAGCATGATATGGAACAAAGATCATGAAGCTTTGCTCTTAGTCCTAGGTTTTAAATTTGCCTTCAGCCTTCTATCTTTATGACCTTGGATAAGTTACATACATTTTTCTAGGCTTATTACCTTTCTCTGAAAAAAGAAAAAAATACTATCAGCCTCATTGAGAAATTGCAGGAATTAAATGAGATAATTTTATGGGATATATTTTCCATAAAGCCTAGCACATTATATGTAATCAATATATATTAGTTTTTCCTTAAAGTAAATATATTTATATGATACATAACCTATGGAAAGGAAAGTTTAAGGTTTTCCATATACTGGTCTTCCATAGAAATGCGTAGAAGAAATTGTTTGTGGTCTAGTTTGATGTCTGTTACTCTTTGATTTTATGTAGTAATTCTGTTTTGTTAAAATGCTTAATAGCAGCCTGTGGAGCTATTTAAATAATGAAGGATTTGTTTCTGGAATTAAAAGCATCTTTATCTTTAATTCTATGAATTGCATTAATATCAGTGGGAGGTTGATGTAGCTATAATGCATAGGAAGGCAATAGTAGAAATTCCTAACAAGTAACCAACGAGTTCTGTCAGAAAGGGAATTCCTTATGTCCTTCCTGTTGAGATGTTTTAATTCAACATTGCAGACTGCCTATACTATGGAGCATTTACACAGATTATGGAATAAACATTATTTATTTGTTTTTAGAAAAGGTAATTGCTTGAAAGACTAAAGTTGATCCTATTGAGAGACAAAGATTTTATTTGATAAATAAGCCCACCTTCCTAAGTGTGGTGTGCAACTATTGTTTCTTGTCTGTGTTTTTCCTGACTTCAGGACATGTGGGCACAGACCTGGCACATGGTAGGCATTTAATAAATATTTTTTCAGGAAGATGTTGAATAGATAAACATGATACAATTAGAAAGAAGAAAAATAATTGTGGCTTTAGTCATTCTATGAGGTTCCTAGAGTAGTCCATGACAGTCATCTGTTCACAAAATACATAGCACGTGAAATTTTCCCAAGAAACTCTGCTCTATTAGTTTGAAATTTTTAACGAAAAATAAAGAGCCACTGTTGTATGCAAATGCCAACACCTCATGTAGAAGCCACATTTTCTTCTAACCTTGCTAATTATCAGCCAGGCCTAGTTATTCTTTATACTAACCCTGACCCCACTGATTATCTAAATCCAATCATCCTCCACTGCCAATCTACCACTTTCAAAAATCATGATAAAATATTAAGACAAATTAAAATATTGATAACTTGGTTTTTCTTATTTTATAGCTGCAAATAGAATTTTTGAGAAATACATTGAAAATTACCAGGTTTTAAATTTGAAGTTTAATCTCCATTTCTCATTACTACCCCAACTTTACTTTATTGCACTTTTCATTTCCTCTTCTGAGTCTGTTTGCTTCTCCTTCATTTCCTTTGAGAGCCATTCTTACAAAAACTGGGACTCTTGAGGGGTTCAGAATGGCTGTTTGCAGAGTTATCTCATTTGGCCAAATTTCCCACAGATCCTTAGGAATGAGAAAATAGTCTAAAAAGGTAGCATCTGTGATCCTGAGGGGAAGGGGGAGCCTGCTCAGAGACGCTTAATGCTCTCCAAGCTTGCTTTTAAAATGCACCATTTGGGCTTCCGACCAGCTCAGCTCTGGGCTTGCTTCTTGCTGCTTTCGTGTTAAAAAGCTCCTTTGTCAAAGCCCTTAGGCCCATTGGTGATAACTGCTACAGAAAAATACTAGTGATAGAAAGATATATTTTCAATAACCCTTGACTTTTATTTGTTCAGCCACTGCTAGAATAAAGGGTAAGTGGGCCCTTGATACTTTAAATGTTCCATGTCCCCCTCCATATACTTCGTAGGTCAGCATTCTTTACTGATGAAAATTCTGGTCTGGATCTTGGCTAGCTGTCATGGGAAAAAGTGTCTGCAACATTATCTACCTCTGAGCTTAGGTTGTTATCCCCAAAAGCCTAAGATCAATAATGGTAGCATGAGCTTTGTAGTGTTTTCCTTATTTTCATTCTATCTGAAAACCAAGTATCAGATTAATAAATCTCCAGTAGTGTGCTTGAAGGGTGGAGGTTTCCTGAAACAAAGGAGAACAGCACAATTTTGCATGATAAAAAATTTAAACATAATCAAGATTTTTAAATGCCATATAAAACTTCTCAGAAGAGTTCTGTACCTTCAGATCAATGTTATGGATACATTTTTTAAAATTCTATTACTCGTAAAACTTTTACTAGCCTACAAATTTTCAGTATCTTTCTATATTGATTGGTGCTAGTGGGAAAGCATTATATGACAAGAAGTATTTAGCATGAAGATGCATGGAATTAATGTTATGATTTTTAACATAACCTCAAATTTGTGTAAAGGTTTCAACCCAATATGATTGCTTATGTATCTTAGGACAGCAGATCTATACATTACATTTAGGACATTTTAGCTCAAGCATTTGACAATGAATTAAATGTTGACCTTCAAAAGTGTAGGGATGAGCTAGATTTATTGCCTTCTGACTTTCAATGCAGCTTTCTCAGGCTTTCAATCAAATGGCCAGTTGATACAGTGAAAGGAGTACTAAAATGAAAGCTAAGAAAAGTGGGTTCTAGCAATGACACTGGATGGTGAGCAAATTACTTAATGCCTCTGGACTTCAGTTGCTCATCTGTGAAATGAAGGAGCTTGATTACATGATCTCTGAGGACCATTTAAATTAGAAAACTCTGCTTTTGAGATGTGCTATCCATAATTGTTGAACCAATTTTAGGTGACATTAGTCAGAAACTATAAAAAGAAAACATTTTTTATTTATGTGGATTTCTAGATAAAATCTGTCTTCTTGGCCTTGATATTATAACATTATTTCATTGTAAGATTTTCACTATTATCTTCTCTGCTCACCTTCTTAGGTTTTGGATAGAATGGGATAAATCTAGAAAGAAGTGAATATTACTTTTATATAGTACTTCATACATTCTATAAAGAGCCTTCTTTTATCTGATATAATGTACAAAATAAATATTGTAAGGTATATAGGGTGAAAATTATGATTACCACATTAGGTTTGAGATAAATAAATAAATAACTTGTTCATCTTCATATGAGGAAGAAACAGAAAAACAACAACAAAAAGAGCCTAGTTCTGAGCATGTAAAGAGTAAGATTAATATGAAATCAATCCTTTTTGTAAAAATAGGACAGTGCATAAGAGAAACAAATGTAAGCACAAAAACTGAAAATAGAAGAAAAGGATAAGGATTTTAAATTACAGTATTCAGAAAACTCAAATGAGAAGAACCAAAATATATATAATTTAAAAGGAATTTTTAAAAGATACTCAGTGGCTTGCTACAGGGGCTAATATGGGAATATACTTAGCTATCTTTTCTTATCCAGTCTCTGCTCTGAATTACTTGAGACTGAGCACATTTGTTTGGCAAGGATTTAAGATCAAGTCTTTAAATGTCAAGGGTGAGGGTTAGGTGTTCTTTGAAATCTTTTCTCATTTCATCATGTAGATTCTTCTCTTCCTCTGGTGAAAGACATAATAAAGTTTGGAAGGCTGGTAAATAAGTCTGATCTGGGGAAGAATTTAGAAGAAAGTTGGTGACAGACTTCTGAAGCAGTATTTCAACAAGTAACAGCATTGAATTCAAAACGAAAACTCAAAGTTCATAGAATAGACTTTTATGTATTGAAGTGGGCCTTGAAATACCAGAATCAGAAATGTGCTTTGATAAAGCCCGTCTTGTCCATTTGTTCAGATGCCAGTTATGATGTGTTTAAACAAATCCTTTGGACCTAGCACCGTAAAGTTGGTTTTACATTTATTTCGGACAAGGGCCCCCAAACCCTGGCCACAGACCACTACCAGTCCTTGGCTTGTTAAAAACCGCCACACAGCAGGAGGTGAGCTGTGGGCCAGAGAGCATTACTGCCTGAGTTCTGCCTCCTGTCAGATCAGTGGCTGCATTATATTATCATAGGAGCCCGAACCCTGTGGGGAAATGCACATGCAAGGGATTTAGGTTGCGCCTCCTTATGAGAATCTAATAGCTGATGATCTGTCAGTCTCCCTTCACCCCCAGATGGGACTGTCTAGTTGCAGGAAAACAAACTCAGGGCTCCCACTGATTCTACATTATGGTGAATTGTACAATTATTTCATTATATATTACACTGCAATAATAGTAGGAATAAAGTGCACAGTAACTGTAATGCGCTTGAATCATCCCAAAACCATGCCCCACACACCTGCTGTCTGTGGAAAAATTGTCTTCTAATAAAACAGTCTCTGGTGCCAAAATGGTTGGTCTAGGATACAAAAAAAGTGTTTTGTCATTTGTTTGTGTGTTTGTTTTAGATCTGGAGTCCGTTATACAATAGATCAGTATATGATGCTTGATATTCATATAATTAAAACATAATTTAACTGGTATAGTTGAGAGTGATTGATTAAAAGATACAAAGAAAGGATGGTAACTATTCAATTTATACACTGGAAAATAAATGGTTTAAATTTCTCTTGGCCAATTTTCTTCCACTGAAAATGTTTTGTATTAGTAGTCTTGTGTTATAAATCATTTTAAGGTGGAATATTGGACAAAAACAGAAAATGTACCAATTTTTTCCTAAGCATGGCATTTAGCCCATATTTTATATATTTCTCCAGGTTGGTAGCTCATAAACAGCTGTGTTCAATATTTTCTATGCCACCAGCATAAAAGGTTTGGCGTCAGGACCAAAAACATGCTACATTTTTTGAAGAAACGTATGTTCTGCATTGAAAAGAACAACAGCCATTAATATTTCCTTGACATCACTTGGAGGAAAATCTTGTTTACTTTCATATTATAATTTGCTTACTTGAACTGCTAAAGAAGAAATATGGGTATATCTATACCACTTCAGTCATAAGATAAAATATTCCTAATTTACAAACACATTCTTCCTTTAAAAATTGTTTCTTTGTATATTAGCTGTTGTATGAATACTTAAATTTCAGAAATATATTCATTGTGGTAGTTTTGGTCTTTAAGGCAGAATCTTTATAAGTATTCCAAACTTTCTTACTTTCTTGCTAAAAGAGTTTTTTTTTTTTTTTTTCTGTATACTCATTGTATAGAAGAATGCACAGATGCTCTTTAGGATCAGATGAATACCCTCAGAAATACATCTATATACCTAAGATAGCATCCAGTTATTTTAATGCCTATCAGTGGTTTTTATCCTTTCTACTGTTTTCACAGAAAATATATTTAAAATAAAACTGAATTTACAGAAATATTATTTATAGGAAAACCTAATTAAAACCACAATGAGAACATGAATTTAGATGTATCACACTAGCAAAATTTTCCAAATTCCACAAAATAAAACATTGCCAGTGTGGATAAACCAGAATAATTAATTATATTTATCCTAATACAGAATATTCTACTAATAGGAGTAAGATAAATTTTTGCAGCCACTCAGAAAATAATCTGGCTTTATAAAAGTGGGAAATGTATATAACTTCAAACATAACAATTCCGTTTCTCTGAATATTTATACAAATGTTAAGACCAGTGAAAAATCTGAACAACCTAGTACAATGTATAATTATATCGTAGTATATTCAAACAATAAAATGCTACACAGTAGTAAAAATTAACAAACCGCAAATACAGGCACCAATAAAGATGAATATGAAGTAAGATAACATTGAACATAAAAGTCAAATGATAAGAAAAGGCAGAATAGGTAAAATACAATTTCATTATTTAGTTTCAGATCCTACGTTTGGGACAGTATTAACTTTAGATAGATATACGTAAGTACTGAACTGATAAAGAAAAGAAGAACATGACTAACAATATTCATGACTGATTGCCTCCAAGGGTGGGAAATCAAGGGGTTGGATTAAGGGATGGGGTTCATGAATAACACTGGTGACATTACATTTTTAATGCTGGATTAGTGCTGTTCTTTATGTCTTTTACCAATATTAAAATGGTTGTATCTATTCACTATTTAATACAAAAAATATTTCAAAATTAATAGAAAATTTTCAAGAAAAAAATTATTTGTGATAAAGTGCTGTTCAGTAGATCTTTGGTAATTTTGGGATGATTGATATCCACATACATACCATGCTAAGCCATTCATTATCTTCTGAGTCAGTAATTTAGGAGATAGTAAGGTTGATACAGATTAATAAAAAGGGGGCTTGAAGAAAATATTAGGACACCAACTAAAAAAATTAGGTTGCACCCAAATTAACTTAACTGGAATTTGTTAGACTCATTGCTAATGAAAATAATACAAAACAAGCTTTTTTGAGAGACTGGACTGAAAATATTGTGAAGACTGATTTGAATTTGGGAAAAACTACAAGTCACAAGACTAATTTGCAGCAGTAACTGTAGTTTAGGCATAAAGAAATAACGGTCTTAATAAGGGCAGTGACAGAGTGGGAATTAGAATGCGAAAGAACAGAAAAAAGAATAATAAAAAGGAAAAACTACACCCAAAATGAGAAGCAAAAGAATGAGAGATGTGGTTAAAAGAAACAGATGTGAGTAGCTATACATAAAGCTTTAAATTTTACTTTAGATGTTAAGTATAGGTGACATGGAATACGGAGATGTCAGCAACAGAATTAATGAAGTCAGAAAAAGAAGGTATTATTTAGAAAGTCCATGTCATTTTATACTCTGAATAAAAGAAAATAACATTGTTTAAGAAAAAAAAAAGGCTTAACATAGAAACTAAACATACATAATATCTGGTAGTAGATGATATTGGCATTGTCAACTGTCTGGGTCTCACATATCTGGAGGTAATAATACATTTGTTATTCAGACTAATAGACAATTTTTAAAACTTGTTGACAGCCAATGAGTACATAGCTCTGCATCTATTGAGAATAAAGGGAAAATTATCTGTGCATATTGGACTATAATAGCAGAGTAGTAGTGGTTTTTGTTCTCGATTCTACGACTGTATGGCCACTCATTGGTGTTTTTCACCACTGTTATTCTATTAATTTTTCATATTTAAAGTCTTTAATTGACAAAGATAATTTATATTCAAGGTGTAGAATGTGATAACTTGATAAATGTATACATTGTTTAATGATTATCACAAATTAATTGACACATTAATCACCACCCATGCTATACATTAGATCTGAACTTTTTCATCTTATAACTTAAAATTTGCACCCTTTGACCAACTTCTCCCCATTTCTCCCACCCCTGAACACTAGTCAACCACTATTTTGTTATCAGCTTCTACGAGTTTAATTCTTTACAACTCTGCATGTAAGTGAAATCATATGATACTAGTCTTTCTGTGCCTGTCTTATTTCACTTGGCATAATTTCCTCCAGTTTCACCCATGTTGTCACAAATGGAAGTATCACTTTTTTGTGGCCAATAATATTCCACTGTATGTATAAGGGCATACCTCATTTTATACCACTTTGATTTATTGTGCTTCCCAAATAGTGCATTTTTTAAAAATTGAAGTTTTGTGACAATCTTGCATCAAGCAAGTCTACTGAAATCATTTTTAAAGCAGGATGTACTCCCTTTGTGTCTCTGCGTCACATTTTGTTAATTCTTGCAATAGTTCAAACATTTTCATTATTATTATATCTGTTTTGCCAATCTGTGATCATTGATCTTTGATGTTACTATTGCAATTGCTTCGAGGTGCCACAAGCTGCACTCATATAAAATGGAGAACTTAATCATTAAATGTTGTATTTGTTCTGACTTGCTCCATGTACTGGCCATTCTCCCATCACAACTTTTTCTCCTTGGGCCTTTCTATGCCCTGAGAAACCTTAGGCCAGTTAATAACCCTACAATAGCCTCTAAGTGTTTAAGTGAAAGGAGGAGTCGCACATCTCTTACTTTAAATCAAAAAACTAGAGATGATTAAGCTTAGTGAAGAAGGCATACCAAAAGTGAAAACAGGCCAAAAGCTAGGCCTCTTATACCAAACAGCCAAGTGGTGAATGCAAAGGAGAGTTCTTGAAGGAAATTAAAAGTGCTACTCCAGTGAACACACAAATGATAAAAAAGTAAAACAGCCTTATGGCTGATATGGAGAAAGTCTGAGTGATCTGAGTCAAAGATGAAAGATGCCACAACATTCCCTGAAGTCAAAGCCTAATCCAAAGCAAGGCCTTTGCTCTATAATTCTATGAAAGCTGAGAGAGGTGAGAAGCTGTGGGAGAAAAGTTGGAAGCCAACAGAGGTTGATTCATGAGGTTTAAGGAAAAACAATAACTTTTCCATAACATAAAAGTACAAGGTGAAACAGGAAGTACTTATGTAGAAGCTGTTTCAAGTTATCCAGAAGATGTAGCTAAGATCGTTAATGAAGGTGGCTACACTGAACAACAGATTTTTAATATAGACACAATAGCCTTCTATTGGAAGAAGATGACATCTTGAACTTTCCTAACTAGAGAGAAGTCAATGCTTGGCTTCAAAACTTCAAAGGACAGGATGACTCTTCCGTTAGGGATAGTGTAGCTGCTGACTTTAAATTGAAGCCAATGCTCATTTACTATTCCAAAATCCCTAGGGGGCCTTAAGAATTATGCCAAATCTCCTCTGCCTGTGCTCTATAGGCAGAATAACAAAACTTGGATGCCAGCACATCTGTTTACAGCATGGTTTACTGAATATTTTAAGCCCACTGTTGAGAGCTACTGCACACACACACACACAGATTTCTTTCAAAAGATTACTGCTCATTGACAATGTACCTAGTCACCCAAGAGCTCTGATGGAGCTGTACAAACAGATTAAGGTTTTTTTCCCTCTCTGCTAACACAACATCCATTCTACAGCCCATGGATCAAGGAATAATTTTGACTTAAAAGCCTTATTATTTAAGAAATATCTTTAATAAGGCTATAGCTGCCATAGACACTGATTTCTCTGATGGGTCTGGGGAAAGTAAATTAAAAACCTTTAGGAAGGATTCACAAATCTAGATGCCATTAAGAGCATTTGTGATTCATGGGAAGAGGTCATAATATTAGTGTTAATAGAAGGTTACAAACAGTTTATTTTAACCCTCATGGATGACTTTGAGGGGTTTGAGATTTCAGTGGATGAAGCAACTGAAGATGTGGTAGAAATAGCAAGACAACTAAAATTAGAATTGGAATGTGAAGATGTGACTGAATTACTGCAATCCTATGATAAAGCTTGAATGTATGAGGAGTTGCTTCTTACGGATGAACAAGGAAAGTGGCTTCTTGAGATAAAATCTACTCCTGGTGAAGATGCTATGAACATTGTTGAAATGACAACAAGAATTTAGAATATTACATAAACTTAATTGATAGAGCAGTGGCAGGGTTTGAGATGATTGACTCCAATTCTGAAAGAAGTTCTACTGTGGATAAAATGCTATAATCAACATTACATACTACAGAGAAATAGTTCATGAAGGAAGAGTCAATCCATGTGGCAAGCTTCATTGTTGTCCTATTTTAAGAAATTGCCACAAACATCCCAACATTGAGCTGCAACTACCCTGATTAGTCAGCAGCCATCAACATCGAGGCAAGATCCATCACCAGCAAAAAGATTAGGACTGGATGGAGGCTCAGATGATCATTAGCATTTTTTAGCACTAAAGTATTTTTAATTAAGGTATGTTTACTGCTTTTCAAAACATAATACTGTTGTACTTAATAGACTACAATACTGTGTACACATATCTTTTATATGCTATGGAAAACCAAAAAATTCGTGTGACTCACTTTATTGTGATAGTCACTTTATTGTGGTTGTCTGGAACTGAACCCACAATATCTCTGAAGTATGCCTAAATGTATCAAATATCCTTTATTTATTCATCCATCAATAGATACTTAAGTTGTTTCCATGTCTTGGCTACTGCAATGAACATGAGTGTGCAGATATCTCTCCAACATACTAATTTCATTTCCTTTGGATTTACATCCTGAAGTGGGATTGCTGGATTGTATGGTAGTTCTATTTGTTTTTTTTTCTCTGAGAAGGAGTCTCGCTTTGTCATTCAGTCTGGAGTGCAGTGGCGCAATCTGAGCTCACTGCAACCTCCACCTCCCGGGTTCAAGCAATTCTCTGCCTCAGCCTCCTGAGTAGCTGGGATTATAGGCATTTGGCACCACACCCAGCTAAGTTTCATATTTTTAGTAGACACAGGGTTTAACTATCTTGGCCAGGCTGCTCTTGAACTCCTGACCCCGTGATCCACCCACCTCAGCCTCCAAAGTGCTGGGATTTTTAATGTTTTTAGGAACCTCTATGTTGTTTCCATAATGGGTATACCACTTTATACTTTCACCAGCATTGTACAGGTTTCCTGTTTCTCCATACTTTTGTCAATACATTATCAGTTTTTTGATAATAGCCATCTTAACAGATGTCATGTGATATCTCATTTTTGTTTTGATTTACATCTTACTGATGTTTAATGATGTTGACAGCTTTTATTATACCCGTTGGCCATCTGTATGTCTTCTTTAGGAAAATGTCTGTTCTATTACATTTCATTTTCCGGAATCATTTCACAATGATCTGTAAATTAAAAAAAAAATCCTTTGGTGAAATGTACTTTTCTGAAGGAAATTATGTACAGAATGCACTTAGAAAAGTGTTATTTTCTTCACTTTTTACATCACAAATAAAATTAAACAAAGTAAATATCACTTTGGAAATATTCAGGCATATTTCTTCTAACTGATTTGGGGGTTAAAGTCAATAATCATTGCATGTTTAAATAATTATGATTGGATTATTAAAATGCAAATCTCATCAGATTCATAAAGCAAAGATCATGTTGGCAGTGTTGGCAGAACACAAACTAAACTTGTGGCTTAATAACTTATTAGTGGCCAATCATAGGCCTTAACCTAATAGGTTAAAAAGTGGTCAACAACAACAGAAATAAAACAGACAAAATCATCACAGGATAGGCCTATTTAAGTTGGGTTCTGTATTATACTAGCATGTGAATTAAATGATTAAGTAGAATAAATAAATGACAGACACATTACTAGACTTTGAGAGTATAACACTGAGCAAAACAAAAACATAACGCATAAGTATACATATATATAACAAGAGATACATGTAATCAAAATAATCGATAAAATGGACCAATTTCTTAAAAGCCACATTGTTCCTAAACTCATACAAGTAAAAATAAATAATCTGAATAGGCTTATATCTATTAAAGAAATTTCATCAATAATTAATATACTTCTATAAAGAAAACACCAGGACCAGATAGTTTAACTCATGTATTTATCAATCATCTAAGGAAGAAATGATACTAATTTTACACAGAATCATCTAAAAAAATAGAAGGGCACCATTTCCTAAATTATTCTGAGAGATCTGCATTACCCTAATACCAAAATCAGATAAAGACACCGCAAGCAAAGATAACTGCAGACTAATATCTGTAATTTATAGAAACAAAAATATAGAACCTCCATAATTATGACAGTACTCATTTAGAATTATTTCTCCTTATAATTTAATTTATATAATGGAGATATCACATATAGTCCCAAAGTATGTCATTCAATTTACCATGTAAGCTCTAATTAGAGGAATCAGCCTGATAGAATCAAATCAAAGTCTTAAGTAAAAATCATACCTCCTGTATCTCTTGCAATTGACATATTCCTCCCCTGCCACACAGAACAATCCTGACCCCTGCATTATTGTTTTTCTGTATTATTCTATAATCTCTTGTATGCTTCTTCACCAACCTGGAATGCTTACTTCAACTTTCCCACTTTTTCATTCTGTTTCTTTGAGACCATTTAGAAAGTATATCCCTCCAAATCCTTCCTAATAGACTTCCTGATTTATCAGTCGATAATAATGAGCACTTTAGTTGAAGTAAATTTTGTTTTCAGGCTTCCTCTTTATGTTGAAAAATAAATTTTTAAAAATGGAGCTAAAAAAAATTCTGAAGTATATTTGACTATGTATTCTCTGAATTGATATACTGAGGCACTGGAATGTAATCAATGCAAGTCTCATTTACGTTCAACATAATTTTGTGAAAACAACGATATTCTACTATGAATTTTTTTTTAAAAAACAAATTTCCATGGAGAGTAATAAAGTCCATAGAAAATATAAGGAAAACAAAACAAATGCCTCTGAAAAATACAAATAAAGTGCTAGGAAACAAGCAAACAAAAAAAACCCCAAAAAAACGTTGTGTCATAGGGTCAAAATTGAAGCCTCCTCCCTTTTATAACTGAGGACAGAGTTTTTCCTCTGAAGGAGTTTTCAGCTAGAACAGCAATAGCTGGACTTCAAGAAAGCAGGACTAAAAGACATACCTCTCCAAGAAATCTGAGTTGACAAAGGCATTTTAACTGTTCGCAAGATATCCTGCTTGTAACAGGCTTATCAGGGAAGAATCACCTCTGGATACAGACCAAAAAAATTTGAAGATTTCCCATGGCCACACTGAAAAAGTAAGTTTTAATGAAGTAAATACATTTTTCAACTGATCGATCCCAGATGCTTCTAATTTACTCACTTGATGACAAGTGTTTCATGGTTGTTACAGATAGTCCTAGATATTTAATCTGAATATCTAGAAACCAAGAAGAGATTTCACACTATAAACCACTGGAAACTAGGTGGACAGGAATAATAATGTCAGATGCAATACTAGCAATTGGCATGTTTGATTTGGATGAGAGAAGTAAGTGAAGCCCTAATTCATTCAGCTGTAGAAAGTGTTTTTATTGTTCTACTGTATCACTTGTATGATATTAAATATTCTCAGGAGTAATATATCATTAATTAATTTCTCTGACAGTGAAAATTTCATGAACTTTGGGGAGAAAAAGCAATGTCTCAGCAAGTTGTACCATAATTGGGTATTTAAAAAATAGGTTTCCTCAACTCAACCTTAAAAAACACATTTTTTTTTCATACTATTCCAAATACTGGAACACATCACTTAGAAAAGCAACTCAAAATCTTACAAGTTATTCTTTCCTTGACATTATTGGGATCATAAATACACGTTTTAAAATCTGTTCCTTATTTTGAAAACTCATATGTGCATCTTTCCCTTGACAGCTTATATTCTGCACTGAGAGAAGCAAACCTATGCTTGTTACCATTTCTTTGCATAGCATATGGAAATGATGCATCCTTGGTGACCACAATTTGATTAGACTCCCAACTTTCATTGTTTTATTCCATATTTAATCAAACTCAAAAATCACATTGTTGGCCAGCTATTTCCTCTTAATAAAGCTGTATAAAGATTGCAATTTTAAAAATACATTTATTAGTCCCATTTCTTATTGTGTTAATCTATATTGATTCCAACATACTTTTGCAGAGTACATTGTGTGAAAAAAGTTATTAAAAACACTTTGTCTCTTGTAGACTAGCTTCTCAGTAACATACAGGAACATTGTTGTCATGTATCTATACTCTGAATCAATGCCAAAATGCCAAGGAAAGATTCTACCTTTGCACATACATGATCATGAGAAGTAAACAACATGCTAACTAGCACAAGGAATAGCTATTGCTTCCCCACATTGTGTGATGCTAATGTTATAGAACATTCTACAGTGCTATTTCATAGAAGGATTTTGCCAAGAGCTTTTCTGTTTTTTTTTAATATATGCCATTAGCATTTTATTTAATTTTATGAACTTCTTATATATTTGCTATAGAAAGTGAAACTTTTTCAGTGTTACTTTTATTGATGAGAGACTAGGGAAAAATGTATCACTAGGACAAGAAATCCAATTTTCAGATATTCATCTCATTATTTCCAATTTGCAATTTTGTTTTTGGCTTTGTTGGAAAATAATCACATTTTCAGATTCATTTGACCTAACACCAATAGAATAACATTATAAAATAAGTCCAGAGTCTTTTTGACTACATATTTGCGTCTATGATGCTACTCTGAGTTTTAACACATCTATTAATAACTTCCTATCTTTCACTTCACTAAAACAATTTTGAGCCTTTTGTATCACTGGTGAATAAAAAGCAGCACAACAGAAATGCCACCACCAATAATAGATAACATATAAATGATATAAAATGTTGGCTAGGAAAACTCCATCCTATTAACTGATCATTGGATGAGATGAACTGATCAACACAACTCTTCAGTGCATGTACAATTTGCAAAAAATGAATATTAAATCATTACAACGTGGGATGGTTTCTGTGAAAATAGTAATTGTTGCATTCAAAATTAGAAAATATATGTTTAATGAGTTTAATAGTATCTCTCCAAAATACATGTCTACCTGTAATTTCAGAATGTAATCTTATTTGGAAGTAGAATTTTTGCAGGTGTCATTAAGATAAGGTCATACTGGGTTAAAGTGGGTCCTAAAGCCAATAGCTGTTGTCTTTATAAGAAGAGAGGACACACAGACATAGGATGAGGGCCATGTAAAGACAGTGATCAGGTGATCAAGAGATGCAGGCAGATTCAAAAGAGCTTTTAGAGTTCAAAATGACAAACATCTTCAGATACATATGAGGTGAAAAGTGAACGATAAAAGATAAATTAATTTATCTCTAGCAGACCTGTACTACAAGAAATGTGAAAGAAAAATGAAGTGCTTCAGGTGAAAAGGAAATCATACCAATAAGACTTGGAAAAATTATGAGCATTAGAAATGTTAAATATAGAAACTAAAAGCAAAAGATTATCATTTGTTACTTCTCTTCTTATTTTAAAAAGACAGTTGACTGGTTGAAACAAAATTATAACATTGTATTGTGAGATTAAAGATGTATGCAAAAGTAAACTAATGAAAATAATTAAGAAATAATTAAAACAAATACTGATTTTATCTACTTAACAAAAAAGATGGCAAGAAAGGAAGAATAATGAACCGAAAACAGATGATATTAAAATAAAATAAAATTAGTGATTAATACTAATAACTTATTCAGAAGAGTCCTAACTATTTTGGAATAAAAAGTCTGTAAGTAAAGCATAGTCAAGGAAATAACTATATGGGAAATAAAATATGTATTTTGATTTATCTGTGAAAAATAATGAAAACACATTATATCAAACTTTGTGAAACACAGCTAGCACTGTCCTTTAAAGGCAAATTTATACTTTAATTGCTAATGTTAGGAAGTATAGGGCAGGTGTGGTGGCTCACGCCTGAAATCCTAGCACTTTTGGAGGCTGAGGCTGGAGGATCGCTTGAGCCCAGGAGATTGCTTGAGCCCCAGGAGACCAGCCTGGGCAACATAGGGAGACATTTTCTCTACAAAAAAATTAGCTTGGTGTGGTGGCACACACCTGTAGTCCAAGCTACTTGAGGGGCTGAGAGGGGAGGATCACTTGAACCCAGGACATCAAAGCTGCAGTGAGCCATGATTGTGCACCACTGCCCACTGCACTCCATCCTGGGAAACAGAGTGAGACTCCATCTCAAAAAAGGAAAAAAAGAAAACAAACAAACAAACAACAACAAAAAAAACCTAATGAAATGGAATGAGAAGAAAATGCTAAAGAGAACAGAACAGAAAGCAGTAGCATCCCAAACAGGCATATAGTAGAGAAAGTTTTTTAAAAACTCCAAATTTTGTTTTTAAAAAAATTAATAAAATTGTTAAAGCTCTGACTAGACACATCAAGGAAAAACGAAAAGGAAAACACAAATTAATAATAACAGAAATGGGAAGAGGAGATATCACTCTAGATCCTAGAGGCATTATAAAGATAACAAGATAATGCTATAAAACAACTTTATGGTAATAGATTCAATAACTTAGATGAAATTTACAAATTCATTGAAATAAATAACAAAATAACTAAAGCAGATATACGAAATCTAAATAACTAAATATCATTTAAAGAGCTTAAATTGATTATAAAAGTATTTTTTTAAAAAGGCACTTTTTTGGTGAATTTCCTTTTAAACATGTAAAAACGTAATAATATAAACCTTATAGGAACTCTTATTTTAGAAAATAAGAGGAGAAACACTTGTTTTATGGGACTGGCATGACCTTGATACCATAACCTCACAAATACATTACAAGAGAAAGATTAATGATTCATATCACTTATGAGCATTGATGCAAAAATATTTAACTAAGTATTAGGAAATAAATAAAGTGCAATTGTATATTTTTTGAAAAGGATAATACATAATGTCAAGAGAGAATTAGTTTAGGAATGCAAGGTTAGCTTAAATTTTGAATGTTAATGTAATTCATCATGTTACCATGAAAAAAGATAAAGCCATAGGATCATACCAATAGTGTAGAAAAGGCGCTTGTAAACAATTCAACATCCATTCAGAATAAACACTCTGAGCAAACTAGCATTAGAAAGAAATATCTTCTGACTGATAAAGAGGATCTAGGAAAACCTACAGTGATGTCTACATATGCCTCCACAGGTTTGAAGCAGTCTTATTTTTGTAATATTCCAAAGTTGAAAATGATCCAAGTGACCATCAACAAGAAAATGGATTAACAGATTAAGATATAGATATACAATTGAATACTTGGCAGTGAAAAGAATGAACTCTGGAAATATACAACCACTGTGGATGAGGCTCAAAAATACTCTCTTGATCATAAGAAACTAGACAGAAAATAATATATAATTTGTGATCCTATTTATATAAACATCAAGATTACCTAGAACCAATCTTGATGATAGCGTTCAGGTTTGATGCAGGTGGTGATGATGATGAGGATTGATTAGAAAAGGGCATGAATAAACTACCTAAATTGACAAAAATGAAATGTTATCTTTAGTGGAGATACATAGGTCATTTATCAAAACACATGCTTTATACACTTAAGATCTGATCATTTCCTCTTCCTCCTCCTCTTCTCCTCCTTCCCCTTCCCCTTCCCTTTCCACTTCCCCTCCTCCTCCTCCTCCTTCTGCTTCTTTTTGTGTAAGTCTGTCACCCAAGCTGGCATGCAGTGGGACAATCTCCACTCACTGCAACCTCCGCCTTCCAGGCTTAAGTTATATTCCCACCTCAGCCTCCCAAGTAGCTGGGACTTCCAGTGCATGCCACAATGCCCAACTGATTTTGGGGTTGGTTTTTGTTTTGTTTTTGGTAGAGATGAGGTTTTGCCATGTTGCCCAGGCTGGTCTCAAACTCTTGAACTCAAGGAATCTGCCTGCCTTAGCTTCCCAAAGTTCTGGAACTATGGGTGTGAGCCACTCAGCCCTGTTGGATTAGCACATTTCACTGTATATAATTTTTATCTCAAATAATAATTATGTGAAGTGCCTCATACACTGAGATTGTCTTCTATGGAAGAGTTCTATAGAAATAGTAGAAAAACTAAAGTAGTAGTAATCATCAACTTATAAGCAGATTATTTCTAACAATCTGAATTTAGACACAGGCAGGGCATGTGTAAGTTAAATACTCAGAATTTTGGGAACCACATATGTGAAACCTAATAGCCTCAACTGGTTGATTGAATTTTTGAAATCAAGTATTTGGCAAGCATTACACTTGAGATACGCAGACAAATATTCTTTGAAATCACATGTGATATTTTTGTCATCAAGAAATGGAAAATTATTTCAATTTCAAAATGAGCACAGATTAAGAAAATTCTTCAGATGATCATATCTGTACTTATCAGGAAAATCAATAATACATAGTTGAAGGGGTGTTGTCTCCCCATACTGCTCCCCTCCACAATCAGTGAATTTTATTTATATATATGTATATATATACTATCTCTATATATATAGTGTGTATATATATAGTATATATATACTATATATATACTATATATATGCTATAGATATACTATATAGATATACTATATAGATATATATAGTGTGTATATATATAGTGTATATATAGTATATCTATAGTGTATATATAGTATATATAGTATATACACTATATATATATATATATATATACACACACACATTTTGGCACTGAGATATCTGATTTTGCTTGTAGTTTGAACAGGTGGTAAGATTTACCGTATAAATCATTTTACAACTGAGAAGACAAATAAAGATCTTAGAGAGCTTTTAGCATAATGATTTCAATTTTCACTATAACTATACATATAACAAGAAAAATAAAAAGTTTCTGTGCCAATGTTATTTTAGGGAGACTATTTCAGTAAAAGACAGAATTTAAAAGTATCTCTTAGATAAATGATTAACTCACACTTTGTTGTGAACAAGTTATTTCCAAGAAAATGTTGAGTTATTGCTGAATTGGAATGAAGAGTGTTAATTTTGTAGGGCACATATTTCTCTAAGAAATCTTCTAATTGGTGTATTTGATCAATCCTTAAAATATAGTTTAATGATAAAATGAGATGCTCCTTTGTCTTTCTTTCCTTTTGTCATGTTTCCCCATGCCCCACCCACACAGACTTGAGAATCTTTGAGGAGTCCTTTGAATTAAATCTCAGGGTTCAGTGTCTGTGCTCATAACACATGAAGGGAGTTAATTATTTTATTTTCATTAAAAAAATTAAAATAATCAGTACCTACCAATGTGATATTATCTGTTGAATAAGAAAATAGTTCTATGATTTACAAAAAGTTTTGGCTATTATGTGTAATAAAATTAACCATATTCACTACAGAATGTCTCATAGCATTTGTTGCATCAATAAGTATCATGATTCCCAAAGAGAAACACATTTTCTTTCAGAAGATTAATATTACTTTGGAAGAAATTTTTGAAAATATGGCTCTCTATGGTTTTACTAAATGAAAAGACTCTTGTTATGTTTTAAAAAGAAAACTTTATATATAAAATAACTGTGTTAGTTTTGCTACTTATTTTTATTACTTATCTTTTCTGCTATTACCTCAGTACTCAGTAAAGCAAAAATTTGTACAAGAGTAATTATAAATTTCTCACTAAGTACAACTAGCTGAACTCAGACCAAGGTTCTCCCCCAAAATGATAAATATACTACATTTGCAGTCCTGGGCTTGTAGGTGATAGGGCAAAGCGATTTTAACATTCCTTCAGGAAGATGTATTTTCATACTAAATTCAAAAGTTTAGAACTGCTAGAGTAGTTAGTCAAACATGAGCTGGGCAGGAGAGGACCCCAAACCACAAACGACAGGTAATCATCAGCTGATGTTCAGGTGGTTGTTAAACTATCTAAAATAATAATTGTTTGCAGCTTACACCAGGAGAAGGCAGTCTCCCAATAGATAGAAAATACCTGAAATTAGTGATCAATAGGTTCCTGATAAGATATCAAGAGTTAGGTGCATGGGCTCAAGCATGCACACTCAGAGGAAAAATGACAGAGTTTACCTGGTATATGACTTTCTTTTAGTAACACTCAACTGGTAAGGGAAGAACGCCTCAAGTGAGCATACATACAACTTCAGTAAACACATTGTGCATGTGGATGCTCCCAAGGGCTGGCAGACCACTGTGCATGCAGACAGCAGACTTCAAGGGAAGAATCAGGGAAGAAGGGATGCAACCCGCCTAGATGCATGTGCTGTCATATAAAACCCCAAGTCAAAGCTCAAATCATGCACTTGAGTCTTTCAAGTTGCCAGCTTGGCCCTCTTCCAAGTGTACTTTACTTCCTTTCATTCCCTCTCTAAAACTTTCTTAATAAACTTTCACTCCAGCTCTAAAACTTGCCTCAGTCTCTCACCCAGCCTTATGCCCCTTCAGTCAAATTAATTCTTCCAAGCAGGCAAGACTTGAGGTTGCTGCAGACCTATATGAATTTGCTGCTGCTAACACAACCATAATAATCTGTTGACATTTTACTGAATAAAAATCCTATTGAAAGATGACTAAGTTAGAATGAAAAGATGAAAGCTCTCTTTAGCAATCAGTAGATCAAAGGAGGAGTAAATAATTGTGTCATAGTGTTACAGGAAAGGGGTCCCAATCCAGTCCGGAAGAGAGGGTTCTTGGATCTTGCGCAAGAAAGAATTCAGGGTGAGTCTGCAGTACAAAGTGGAAGCAAATTTATTAAGAAAGTAAAGGAATAAAAGAATGTCTACTCCATAGAGCAGCTCTGAGGGCTGCTGGTTGGCCATGTTTATGGTTATTTCTTGATGATATGCTAAACAAGGGGTGGATTATTTATGCCTTGCCTTTTTAGACCATGTAGGGTAACTTCCTGACGTTGCTATGGCATTTGTAAACTGTCATGGTGCTAGTGGGAGTGTAGCAGTGGAGACGACCAGAGGTCACTCTCATCACCATTTTGGTTTTGGTGGGTTTTGGCCGGCTCCTTTACACAACGTGTTTTATCAGCAAGGTCTTTATAATCTGTATTTTGTGCTGACCTCCTATCTCATCCTGTGATTTAGAATGCCTTAACCATCTGGGAATGCAGCTCAGTAGGTTTCACAGCCTCATTTTACCCAGCTCATATTTAAGATGGAGTTGCTCTGGTTCACTCGAGTCTGACAATAGTAAGGCTTCTACTCTCATCTGTAAACACTAGAAAAATTTCTACTTGCATTAATGTATAAGCAATGTTTCCCCTCTGTAAATTAAAAATATAAATAATTGCCACACCTTTGCTCAAAAAGATGCTATAAGTATGACTAGATCATGAACACAGAGCTCTATATAAATATCTTATTAGAGGACATGCTCATATAGAGATGAAATATTCAGAAACAGAACATTAGTAGTGTAAGCCAAAAATAAAATTCTCAGCCCCTCAAGTGACTGAACGGACCCTTCTCTTGGTCAAGGGGACACAAACAAACCTGAAAAACGAGTTCAGATCATGAGAAGAGGGGACATCAGACATGCCTCATTATACTCTCCTCCCTTTGAAGTTTAGAGGCAACTAACCAGCATTAACAATAAAACATAGATCTTAAGACTAACAAAAAAGACTCCCTGTAACAATGAGATACTGAATTCCAGCCTGACTCTAGTATAACATCACCTGACAGATAGTAGGCTCTGAAGGAAATCAAAGTATTTTACTCCAAAATTTATTTCTTTTACATATTTTAAAATGGCCCTGCAAAGCTGCCTCTTAAGGGAGGAATTTGCATTCTATAGAGAATCTCCCCTTACTAGCTCTGAAGCCTTTTAAGATCCATAAGAGACATTCGCATCTATTCCTCTGAAGCCTGCTACTTGTAGGCTTCATCTACATGACAAGAGCCTTGGATTCCACCCCCTACCCCGCACCACCTTACCTTAACTCAAGCTGATTGAAACTCTTCAGTCAGAGTTTAATCCTTTCAACAAATTTCCAATTAGGAAGTCTTTAAATCCACCCATGACCTGGAATCACAACTCCCACCCCACCCACAGATGACCCACCTTTCTAAAATCAAGCTGTAACCCAAACGCCTTGGGCAAATGTTCTCAGGACCTCCTGAGGCTGTATTAGGGGTCACGAATTTTTTTTTTCCTTTTTTAGTATTTATTGATCATTCTTGGGTGTTTCTCAGAGAGGGGGATGTGGCAGGGTCATAGGATAATAGTGGAGGGAAGGTCAGCAGATAAACACGTGAACAAAGGTCTCTGGTTTTCCTAGGCAGAGGTCCCTGCGGCCTTCCGCTGTGTTTGTGTCCCTGGGTATAACCTTACCCCCAACCCCGTGCTCTCTGAAACATGTGCTGTGTCAACTCAGAGTTAAATGGATTAAGGGTGGTGCCAAGATGTGCTTTGTTAAACAGATGCTTGAAGGCAGCATGCTCGTTAAGAGTCATCACCACTCCCTAATCTCAAGGGGTCACGATTCTTAACACTGGCAAAATAAACTTCTAAATTGATTGAGACTGGTCTGAGATACTTTTTGATTTACAGTCTTTTAAGTGCCAGGCACTGTGCCCTGTAGTTGAAGATCCATCGTCTCACTCTGTCTCTAACATTGATGAAAACCCAGAAAACTGAGTCATGGCCCACTGTGCTGCTGAGTATTAATATTTGTACAATTTACTGAAATCTTCATAACTTTTAGCTTGAATATTTTTTGTTCTGGTAACATTTTGTATCTCGAAGTAGAATCCAACTCATTTTAAAAAATCAGTCTCAGTTCACCGAAGAAACTTAATGTTTTTTATATGCTAGAATTTTCAAAATGAACTCAAGATGATTAACACCTACTGTGCTACTGGAAACTTTATTGCATTGGGTTAGAATCTGATCATTTACGTCAATAAAAATTTCCCTTTAAAAATTGTTAGCCAGGTGCAGTGGCTCATGCCTCTAATCCCAGCACTTTGGAAGGCCAAGGCAGGAGGATTTCTTGAGGGCAGGAGTTTGAGACCAGCTGGGCCATTCTGAGATAGTGAGACCTTCTCTCTATCAAAAAAGAAACAACAACAACAAAAACTCCTATTGTAATCTACTTAAACAATTAGTATGTTATAAAGTCTATAAATATTTCTTATATTTTTCTCAGCTGTTATCGTAGGCTTTAATTTTAGTGCCTGGTAGATCATCTTAAAACTATCAGCACAACAAATTATTAATCTAATTTTAAAAATTGTGAACCTGGGCCAGGAAATACTAAGTGTTTAGGTATTTTTCCTAACTTTACAGTGTGCCTTGTAAAACTGCACAGATGGTGACCAAATGGACAATTCCAATTTATTGCCTGTTAAAAAAAGGAGCAGGAAGTATAGATATAAAACTTGTTTAGCTCAAAATATCAGGAAAGCCAGGCTTTTCAATTATTCTTGCCAATCACCAACGGTAACTTTGTTTTGACTACATCAGAAACTGCCTTCCTTGTCTTGATATTTCTTGTATTGTAGCTGCTTAAATAGATTTATTCCAGGTAGTAACCCTTATTTTCATCACTGTCAAAAATACTGTATACTTGGATGGATAAGTTTAGATGACAGAAGCATGTTTCCTTGATTACAGTTTTCACAAAGGGCATGTCTGTTTGTGTGTCCTCCTACTTTACTATTGATTGAGTCATATTGCAACTCCTCAATCCTCTTCACCTTCATTTTCTACCCACTATTTTTCAAAACTCAATTTGGATATAAAATCTCACTCAAAAAGTTGTTGGTGCTTTTCAGTTTACACACATGACTATCAGCTAAGATATAGGAAGTACCCACATTTTTTTTTGTCAGTAATAAATGCCTATCCAAAATGTGTTTTTGGAAACAGTAACAAAGCTTTCAGTTTCTTTCTTCAAATCCATCATAAGAGTTTTGGATTCTGCTGATTTCTTAAAAAGAAAATATCTGTATGTCATGGTGGTTGGACAGAAAATCTAAACCTTCAAGTGTAGAAACGTTGGGGAAAAATTGATATGGGCTCAAATAATACTGATAATTGTTGAAGCAAATACATACATAACACTTTCTATGTGTCAGGCAGTTTTCTAAGATTTTACCATCAAACATATATCATTAATTATCCCCAGAATTCTATGAACTGGGAGATATAACTCTCTCCATTTTCCAGATGAAGACATTGAGGTAAAGACTTAGATATGTAATGGTGAATAAAGAGTTTTTCCAAAGTCATATATATGGTAAGGGTCAAAGATAAATTTGAACCTTGCCAGGCTGAATGTACAATTTGTATTATTAGCCACTACACTACATAAAGTGTCCAACACTGTGCCCAGGACAGAAGTCATGATCAATAAAAATGTTTGTTTCCTTACTGTCTTCCAGCTTTCAGTATCTATATAATCAGTTCTTATAAAGGTGTTTTTCTTTAGCATCCTTACTTGTTGCATCCTTTAGATGTACTAATGCAGATGACCACATTCCCCAGGATTGAACATAATCTGCCCTGTACCACTCATGGATTTGCTTCAAAATGAAAAAATCCCAACACACTAGAACATCTATTTGCAAATCCTCTAGGCCATCAGATACATCAAAATCCTCAAATTGTGGCATGTGTGGAAGACTTGGCAGGGTTTTCCCTCGAAAGGAAAAGAAAAAAAAATGGCCACAAGAAGAAAATATTTTGAATCTTTTTGAGGCAAGAGATACAGAAAACTTGTCATCTTCAAAACTAAAATTTCTCTAAAATGAATCTTTTGTGACAAGGAACAGTGATTTCTAAATAAAATACAAAATTGGTACAATCTTTCCCAGAAAAGGATTTTGAAGAGATGAGAATGGGAAGGGGCTTGAATTTAAGTATACAGACTTGTGTGTTTAACTGTCTCTGATGTGCATTTTATTTTTATTCATTCATTAATCAAGAGTTTCTTCAATGGTACCAGACATTAGGGTAGATGCAGAGATAGAATAACAACACATTATCACTACTCTTTAGGGTCTGTAGTTTACTGGAGATGGCATATAATATAATAAATATAATATAATAATCATGGGATAAAGGCCATAGCTGGAGCTGTGGGAACAAAAGGCTAGATATCCTACTTGTCATTTGTAAGATGAAAAACAGTTAGCAAGGAGGGGTGAAAAGCAAGTGTTCCAGAAAGAGGGAACATCTTATGCAAAGGCCCTGAGTCTAGGAAGCGTCTAAAATGCATGGCCTGTCATTAGCATTGACTTCTGAGTGATGTGCTTCATTTTCCATTTCCAATGGTTTAAACAATATGTCTCCAGTAAAAGTCCTGTATTTAGGAAATGACTGACTTAATTTATTCTCTCTCTGTACAAGCTCACACCCTTGACTCTAGTAGTTTCTTATCCAGCTGTTATCCTCAGAGCGGCTGTACTTGTTAACACTCAGTATTTCAACACATGCCACCACATTTCCCTTTTCCATCTATAATTTGGCATCAAGTTGGAAGCCATTATTTGTCATGTTAGTATTATAATTAACTGAAAATGATTGAAGTGCAGTTTTAAATGTCTTTAAAAACTAGAGTGATGCTTGCCAGGGTCACAATTGACAAAATATGTGGTGGTAAAAGAGACATTTGGGCTGTACTTGCTAAATATATCTTTCATTTCCTAAGAAATGGTGTCAAACGATTCTCTGCTATTTCTCTAGAACCCAGACACATCATCTATTGTTTTATAGCTATTAGAAAATGAAACAGTCTCTTTCCTTCTCTTTAAGCCTAGTCATAAACCACCATGGAGTCAACATCATAGTGTGTATTAATTCAGATGAAATTTTACCACCTGGCATTTAGGCTGCAATACTTAAATCTGTGAAAAGTTGACACTGAGCTCCCTGAAAGATTAAAAACAATGCTTTTGAGCACTTTAAAAAGTTCATAGCTTCTCTGCTGTAATAAAATTTTCATTATAATTACCTATGAAACCATCAATTGATTTTTTTAAAGAAAATATATTTTTCTATCCACATAACCTTGAACTACATATACCTTCACTGTCTTTTTCCTGAAGTTAATGTTCTTAAAAGATATTTGCACTGTTTAATAGGATTAACTCAAATCCCCGCAACTCCAGCCTGCTTTTTTCAATGCTTCTTACATGCCCAGAGTTTTTTCCTACTAGTATCTTGTCTTCTATTTGACTTTGTGTTTTGGACCTACTGCTGAATTAGTGGCACAGCAGTACTTAGACTATTACCAAGGAGAGAGAATAAAGAGACAATAAGATAGTGCTCTAATTCACTTTCAAGAGAAAATCTTATCTCTTTACTCGTAATTTAGAGATTTTTTTTTTTGTTCAACTTAACAAAAGCAAGGTCTTAAGCACAAGTTTTCTGCTTCCTGAAAGTTTAAGCATTGTCATTTAATATTAAAGTTTTACCCTAGTTTGGTTCTCCCTGATTCTAATCATTTCCTCCATCTTACATCTTTTTGGATGTTATGCTGCTTTTGCCTGGACAGCACCATCTCAGCTATGACCTCTTTTAGGTGTGGCTCATTGAACTTGGTATGCTCCCACTAAAGGACATACTACCTTAGCACCACTTTCTCATATTATTCGGCTCTTATTCTATCTTCTGGCAGTGAGGATGAGATTATTAAAGCTAAAACAATATGTTACAGAGACTGCTGGCATCTTATTATTTATTTTCCTTTTCTTTCTTATTTGCAGAACCTTAACTTCATGGAATGGTGATCATTAAACTACTCCAATCAGTAAATTACTTTCCCCATCTCTAGTCTCCACTTCTGTGGCCCCATCACATACTAGAAAATAGAGGGAGTGTATTGGATTTTACAGGCCACAAATATTCAAGCAGAAGTAGTTGAGAACCATCTCAAGCCACATGATGACAGTAATGCTACCTTGGTGAAGAATAAAGAAATTGAAATGAAACAAACATTTCTTCAGTAATGTAGATTATTCTGAACTTACAGTGGGGTTACATCAGATAAACCCATCATAAATTGAAAATATCATTAAGTCAAGAATGCATTTAATACACCTAACCTAGCAAATATAACTTAACCTAACTTACCTTAAATGTGCTCAGCACACTTACATTGGCCTACAGTTAGGCAAAATTATCTAGCAACACAGTACGCTGTAGAATATTGTTTTTTCACCCTTTGGATTACTTAGCTGACTGGGAGCTACAGCTCACTGACGTTGCCCAGCAGCACATGAGAGTATCATGCTGGCAACACAGTACACTGTAGAAAATTGTTTTTTCACCCTTGGGATTGCTTAGCTGACTGGGAGCTACAGTTCACTGATGTTGCCCAGCAGCATGAGAGAGTATCATGCTGCATATTGCTTGCCTGGAAAAAAATCAAAAATCAATATTCAAAATTTGAAGTATAGTTTCTACTTTCACACCATTGTAAAGTTGAAAAATGTACATTGAACCATAGTAAATCAGGGATCATCTGTACTATGGATTGGGAACTGTACTGTTAATCTCATTTCATAGAACTACTTTGTAAGATCGATACCATTAAACTGACTTTTACAGAAAAACAAATAGAATTAAGGAAATTAAGTAAACTTCAAGATCATATCGCTTATTACTTCTACAGCCAGGACTCAAATCTTAATGTCAATCCTCTAAAATCCTCTTTATGCTTTATTAAATAATCAGACAAAATCATGATGTTTTCTATTTCTTTCATGTATATGTATACATATATAAATATATATATATTCCATATATTCCATCACTCTTTCTATGTAAGATACTTTATTTACTGCATATATATGGCTAATAGGATAGAAAAAGTCATCAGAACTCAACAAATTAGAAAGAATGGGAAGTCTTACTCTTTATTTCTAAATTAAGTGGCAAATTCTTTATCTCATCAGGCTCAGCTTATAAATCATAGCATACCCTTATGAGCTGTACTAAAATTAGATGAGAAAGAATCTCACTGAAGTGGAATAACAAGGATACCAGATGTGAAGCAACTAAAGAAATGAATAAATGAACATCTTATCCTTATTAGTTACTCAACACTACATTCATTAAGAAATGAGAATGTTTAAAAAATCAAGCAGATTCTCCATCTTGCTCTTGAATTCACAGAAAAGTGCTGATAACTTGCAAAATATAAAAACGAGATCCCCTGTTTGTCAGTATTAGTAAAGAAAAAAATAATAAACAAGGTCAGTAAGACAGTAAGATATGCTGACTTGTGGCTGAAAATCAGCATTAATTAAATAAACTTTGCCATATATAAGAACATGCTCAAAAATTGAGCTAGACACAATTCTACAGTTAATGGTCAGTACATTAATCAATTCCACTTTTGCTTTCTGACATCTTTTTTGCAAGTGGCTTGCATTCAATTTGCCTTAGATGCTGCGAAAGAGGAAGAGTATCTAGTGCCTGCATATTAGTGGGGTAGGAAGCAACCCTGAGATCTTAGTAGTGCTGGTTGCAATAGGGTTATTAATTACCTTATTAATTTAAGGTTATTAATAGACCTTAAAAGTTGAGGGCTTGGGAGAAGTCACATCTAGATTTGAATTTGGGCTCTAGAAGTAATGAGAGTTTTAAGGCCCGAGTGGTAAAATAAGAATTAACTATAGGAATAAATTGAAGATCCAGGTCACCATTACATTTACAATAAAGCTCAGACCTTAAAAAGTACAATAATACAGAATGTAGCCATGAAGCTTTGAATGAAAAAGAGTTGGAGGTGAGAGCTTTCTTGAGACAAGCTTACCTCTCCATGCCTAAAAAGCAGTTACACAAAAACATCATATTTTTGAATAATTCATGATTCTAACAGAGAAGGGAGACTTGAGTTGTCAAACAGGAAAACTACCCTCAGCCATTCTCAACCCTACAGAAACCCTTCATAAGAGCTTAGGGAAAGCCTAGCTTGTTTAATCAAAGGGAAAAGGGATTGTCTTTGAACTCTAAACTGAGACAGTGGAAGAAAAAAGATGAAAATAGAATGGTACTGGTACAAGAACAGACATATAGACCAATGGAAAAGAATAGAGAACCCAGAAATAAGACTATACACTTACAACTATTTAATCTTCGACAAACCTGACAAAAACAAGCAATGGGGAAAGGGTTTCCTATTTAATAAATGGTGCTGTGATAGCTGGCTAGCCATATGCAGAAAATTGAAACAGGACCTCTTCTTTACACCATATACAAAAATCAACTCAAGATGGATTAAATACTTAAATGTGGCCGGGCGCAGGGGCTCACACCTGTAATCTCAGTACTTTGGGAGGCCGAGGCGGGCGGATCACGAGGTCAGGAGATCGAGACCATCCTGGCTAATACAGTGAAACCCCATCTCTACTAAAAATATAAAAAATTAGCCAGGCCTGGTGTCATTTGCCTGTACTCCCAGCCACTCAGGAGGCTGAGGCAGGAGAATCACTTGAACCCGGGAGTTGGAGGTTGCAATGAGCCTAAATCACTCCACTGCACTCCAGCTTGGTGACAGAGCAAGACTCCATCAAAAATAAATAAATAAATAAATAAATATAAAAATAAAAAGACTTAAATGTGAAATCCAAAACTATAAAAACCCTAGAAGAAAACCAAGGCAATACCATTCAAGACATAGGCATGGGTGAAGATTTCATAATGAAGACACCAAAAGCAATTGCAACAAAAGCAAAAATTGACAAATGGGATCCAATTAAAGTAAAGGGTTTCTGCATAGCAAAATAAACTATCAACAGAGTAAACAACCTACAGAATGGGAGAAAAATTTTTGCAAACTCTGCATCTGACAAAGGTCTAATATCAGCATCTATAAGGAACTTAAATAAATTTACAAGAAGAAAACAAACACCTCCTTTAAGAAGTGGGCAAAGGATATGGAAAGACACTTCTCAAAAGAAGACATTCATGTGGTCAACAATCATATGAAAAAAACCTAAACATCACTGGTCATTGGAGAAATGCAAATCAAAGCCACAATGAAATATCATCTCATGCCAGTCAAAATGATTATTATAAAAAAGTCAAAAAATAACAGATGCTGGCAAGGTTGTGGAGAAAAAGGAATGCTTTTACACTGTTGGTAGGAGTATAAATTAGTTCAGCCATTGTGGAAGACAGTGTGGTGATTCCTCAAAGACCTAGAGACAGAAATACCATTTGACCCAACAATCCTATTACTGGGTATATAACCGGAGGAATATAAATTGTTCTATTATAAAGGCACAGGCATGCATACGGATGGAGCCGGAGGCCATTATCCTTAGCAAACTAATGCAGGGACAGAAAACCAAATACTGCATGTTCTCTCTTATAAGTAGGAGTTAAATGATGAGAACACATGGACACATAGAAGGGAACAATTGCACACTGGGGCCTACTAGAAGGTGGGGGTTGAGAGGAGGAAGAGGATCAGGAAAGGTAAGTAGTGGATACTAGGATTAATACCTGGGTGATGAAATAATCTGTGCAAAAAACCCCCATGACAAACGTTTACCTGTGTAATAAACTAGCACATCCTCCCTATGTACCCCTGAACTTAAATAAAATTTAAAAAGAAAAAAAGATGAAAATGAAATGAGTAATATTCCAATAAATAAATAAAGCACACCCCAAAAATTGTTCCTGAGGACGATAAATTTAATCTAATATTTGAAAATTAGCTCTGTGGATTTTAGAAGTCACAAATACAAAAGCTCAGAAATGATTTGACTAGATAATAGAAGTATAAGGATCATGGAATAAAGTACCTACGGGGAGAATGAAAAAAAAAAAAGAAGAAAATAGAGCAAAATTCAAAACCAAACCCTAAATAGGAACTATGAAGCAAATATACATAAAATAAATCACAGAGAAGAAATGAAAAGAATGAAATGGAAAAAATAACAAAATAAAAATAGAGTCAAGAAAGGTTTGGAGAAAAAGTAATAAATATAAAAACACACATAAAGATATCCAACGTATGCATAATGATGTCTCTAAAGAAGAAATGCAAGGCAATAAAACATAATAGTTATAACTATAATTCAGAAAACTTTCTTAAAATAAAGGTAACTTGAATGTGCATGTTATAAAGGTACATTTTCTATCTTGAAAATTCTATTCAGAATATTCAAAACTGAGACAATTCCTAACAACTATTAAACTTTAAATACAGGGAAAATTAATTCTGTGGAACTCTGGTAAATGAGTATCTTAAAAAGGAAAAAAAAATCAGGATGGAATCAGCTTTGACTGTAAATATTTACCTGTAGAAAGGAAGAGTGTTTTTAAGATATTCAAAGAAAGAAAATGTGAGTCAAGTATTTATATACAGATAAACTGTTCTTCAAGTATAAGATCATAGACAAATAGTTATGAATAGACAAAACTTTGGAAATGTTATTTGTGTGATCCCCTCCTGAGAAATCTATTAGAGAACAAATTTCAGGTAGCCATAAAATAATCAATAAATTTTGACATGAGTTTGCATGAGCACTGAATATGTTTATCAGTAGAATTAAAACTAAAATGTGAAAATAAGGAAGAGATGGAAGAATGTGTTATATTTTCTGTAAAAATAGAAATAATCAACTAACCAAGATAATACCAGTGAATAAAATTGGAGAGTGAAAGAAAAGGTAGGAGGGGAGAAAATGTTGTTTGTAGTTTGATGGTAATATATAACATCTAAAGAAGGGTTGACTAAGAATTTTACATAAGAGTACTAATATAAAAACAAACTAGGAAAAAAAATGCAAATGATCTTTAATAAAAAAAGCCTTCCTCTGAAAAAAGCAAAATTAAAAGGTCAAATAATAAAAATGTAATATAAAGATTAAATATTGCATGAAATAATATGACAGAACTAAAGACCAAATATGTTTCTATCAAAAATGTAAATTAGAATAGTTCACTATCAAAAGACAAAGTTACACAAAATTTAGATATAGATCTTTCTTGCTTTTATTTATGATTTATGAATCAGGGCCATCCCCCATTCTACAAAATAGAATGAGAGATTGCATTGGTCAATAGCAGAACAGTGAGTTTTTCAAGGTGAGAATGAGAAAAATGAACAGAAAAAAGCTGAGTGGTTAATATAAGTTTATTTCAGGCTACTTTTTTTTTTTGACTTAACAGAATGAATTTTCTTATTCAGTTGATTCTGACTGGAATCTTCTGTTTTCAGGAAAAATTGATCTGTTTTGGGATCTATATGCTTCCTTAAATTTTCAGTTTGATTATGTGGCATTTAGTATGAGTGACTCCACTTTGGTTCAGTCTGTTTTTTTGGGGCCCAGTGCAAAACAGTGGTCTTCCATGTTTTTTGTTTAACATCACCTCCTAAGAAAAACTCATTTTTGCAAAGTGAAATGCAAAATTGGGCATTTTCAAAAAAATACATTAAAAACAAACTGATTCAGGATGTGTAAATATAAATGTATGGGGATAGGGGTGGGGTGACCTGTGGCAGTCATAGCAATAATTGGATACAATGGCCATGCCTGAGATGTCAAGTTGATGTAGACCTGTGATACAATACCAATGATTGATGGGGTATTTTAAATTACAGAAACAAGTACAGAAAGAGTTGATAGTAGGACAACTTGTAAGGAAATGCAAGAAATCTCCCTCTATTTTCAATAAACATGTAAGGCATTTGGTCAAAAGCCCAAGTGATATGACACCAAGGGGACAAATTATACCATATCTAACTTGATCAATATGGTGCTGAAAACAAATGCTTGAACAATATCCATGAGTTATATTTGCACATTCTACTGTGATGACTATACATTGTGGGAAATACTGCGGTCATCAGTTCATCTATCTCTAGAGGGAACAGAACCATGTGATACTCTTTCTGAATGAGAAACAGTCAAGAATGGGTTTCTATAAAAAGACCAGACCTTGAAGTTGAAGGAGAGCCTGATCCATTGATTGCACATGTTAGCTAATTATATGTTGATATAACTGTAGAAACCAGATGCCAGAGGCTGAGCACAGATGGTTATGAGAAAGGTTGTCCAAAAGTGGAGACTTTTCCAACATTCATTGGTAAAATTCATACATTTGCAGATACAAAGAATCACTTCTAGAACACCCTGAGAAGTGTTTAGAAGGGTCTAGAACATTACAACTAGAATTACTTAAAGAAAGGGTTAGCCAAAGACACCATGCAAATGCAAATAAAAGGGAAACAACAGTCAATACTAGATATAATAGACATATAGATAAGGCAATATAAGACAAAGATAAGCCAAGACAGACATATAGTCAAAAACAAGAAATAAGACAATGAAGAACTCTATAATGCTAAAGGGTATAATTCACATCAACATAATAATAGTAATAATATCTATTAATTAAATAATGTATCAGCAGCTTTCATGAAGTAGAAAATACAAAAATGCACAAAAAAATGGATAGACACACTTAGAGTAGAAGAATTTAACATATCTCTCATATATCTGGACACATTAAGTGGAAAGTAATTTAGAAAGGATATCAAGACCTAAACAATATAATCAATAGTGTATCAATCTCTGCTCCCCAATAATGGAAGTTATAATTATTTTCAAATGAATATTACTTTTTTATAAAAGTTGATCACTAGGCCACAAATAGAAACTCAGTGAAAATTTTTAAAAAGACAAACAGCATCTCTCTGGCCACAATGTCATAAAACCAATATTAAAGAGCTTTACACCTGGAAAGTTAAAAGTACAGCATTAGGAAAAATAAATTTTTAAGCATAGCAAAAGGCAGGTTTGGTCAAAGGGGAAATAATAAATGAAATGACAGTTTTTAAAAAGTGATAATAACCAAAATAACATATAGAATTCATAAGATGCAGATAAAACAGGAAAATTCATCATATGAAATATTTATGTCAATGCAAGTAGAAAAAAGAAAAATAAATAACCTATACCTGCAATTTGAAAAGCTTGAAAAATATTCAAAATTTACCCAAAAGAAAGCAAAAAAAAAAATTGGTAAAAATAAAAGCAGAAATTAATGAGTAAGAAAATAGGGAAATGGAATGAACCAAAGCCCAGTTATCTGAAAACATGAACTGTTGCAGGAAGTCAGGGAGGGACCCCAAATGGAGGGACCAGCTGGAGCTGCGGCAGAGGAACATAAATTGTGAAGATTTCATTTTAATATGGACATTTATCAGTTCCCAAATAATACTTTTATAATTTATTACACCTGTCTTACTTTAATCTCTTAATCCTGTTATCTTCCTAAGATAAGGATGTAAGTCACCTCAGGACCACCGTGATAATTGTGTTAACTGTACAAATTGATTGGAAAACGTGTGTTTGAACAATATGAATTCAGTGCACCTTGAAAAAGAAAGAATAACAGTGATTTTTAGGGAACAAGGGAAGACAACCACAAGGTCTGACTGCCTGCGGCATCAGGAAAAAAGAGCCATATTTTTCTTCTTGCAGAGAACCTATAAATGGACGTGCAAGTAGGGAAGATATTGCTAAATTCTTTTCCTAGCAAGGAATATTAATATTAATACCCTGGGGAAGGAATGCATTCCTTGGGGGAGGTCTGTAAACGGCCGCTCTGGGAATGTCTGTCCTATGTGGTTGAGATAAGGAGTGAGATACGCCCTGGTCTCCTGCAGTACCCTCAGGCTTACTAGGGTGGGGAAAAACCCAGCCCTGGTAAATTCGTGGTCAGACTGGTTCTCTGCTCTTGAACCCTGTTTTCTGTTGTTTAAGATGTTTATCAAGACAATACATGCACAGCTGAACATAGACCCTTACCAGTAGTTCTGCTTTGCCTTTGTGCTGTTCCCTCAGAAGCATGTGATCTTTGTTCTGCTTTTTGCTCTTTGAAGCATGTGATCTTTGATCTACTCCCTGTTCTTACACCCCCTCCCCTTTTGAAACCCTTAATAAAAAACTTGCTGGTTTGAGCCTCAGGTGGGCATCACAGTCTTACCGATATGTGATGTCACCCCTGGCAGCCCAGCTGTAAAATTCCTCTCTTTGTACTCTTTCTCTTTATTTCTCAGCTGGCTGACCCTTATGGAGAATAGAACCTATGTTGAAATATTGGGGGTGGGTTCCCCTGATATCAAACAATATAAAAATACAAGAGCATTTTGATAATAATCTGCCAAAAGTAATTATAGTAAAGGTGCAATGTCTAAATGTACCAATTTCCATAGGAAAAATAGAGAAAATTTTCAGAGATACCCCACATCAAAGAACAATGTCCAGATGTTTATATCAAACTTTTAAAAATCAGATAGTTGTAAGTTTGCTGAACGGAGTCTAGAGAATACTAACAGAAGAAAAACATTTAAAGCAAATATAATAAAAATCAAATTATATATCACTAATGAATATCAATGCCAAAATGTAAGTAAAATATTAAGCAATAAAACCTAACATCGTATTTAAAAATAATACAGATTGTCCACAGTTTATTCCATGATGGCAAGAATATCCATTAATATTAAGCAAGATGACCTTACTGTCCCCTCAGCTTGATGAAACTTTAGATAGATTTCTTTCTACTGTAGGCCTCTAATCTCCCTTTTCTTAGAGCCTTCACTTAAAAAAAATTGTAATTATAAATTCTTCCTTTGCCCCCATGTAATGTAAATAAATTGCCTCCCACACTGTTGAAAATTTTAAAACCCAGAAATGTCTTTCTCAATCACCTGAGGGTCATCCCTTTGCATTATAATAATCAATAAAGGTATCATTTGGGAGGGTAGGTGCCTGACTGCCATAAGTACTAGTTAGTTAAACAGATGACCTAATCACATTGACTGTCCTCCTCCAGTATCCTCCATTACTTTTTCCCTAGCTCATTCCAACTCTTAAAAACTCTCTTGTCTTTTGTTTCAATCACTCTTGAGTTTAACCTTTCTCTACTATTGGAATAGTCTTGAATACAGCCCTTTTTGCCGTTTAACTCCATTCAGTGCAATTTTTCTTTGACAACATAATACATTATTGAGAGATTTAAGGAGAAATATTTTATGATTTTTCCACAGATGCCAATAAAAATATGTTAATTTAACACAGATTTCTTATGAAAGCATCAGCTGAATATAGATAAAAATGAATACATTCATATGTAAATGAACATACACATTCATGCACATATCAGACCATTACTGTAAATGAGATGCCCACTACTGACAATGGACAAAATGAATAACGAACAAAATCAAACAAAAGCTTAAGAACAAGTAATCATAGAGTAAATTCTAAAACTATTATAAACAATAAGAAAATCTATTTGAAAAGCTGAGTATTAAATTAATATACAGAAATTAATAGCCTCATATATACAGACAATAGGCATTCAGAATAAAAAGGGAAGAGCATGTATAATAGTAAAAAATAATTTTAAATTTCTAGAATAAAATTAGCAAGAAATATGCCAAAACTACCTAGGAAAAATATTAAGACATACTTGAAAATCACAAATGTTGACTTGAATAAATGGAAATAAATTCCATGTTCTTGGAAACCTTGTCATCATTAAGACTTTAATTCTCTCCAAATTGATATACAAATTCAATATGACCCCCCAAAATCAGCAGTTCTTTTTTTAACTGGAGCCATACACATTACTTTCAAAGTTTACATAGAAAATAAAAAAAGAATAAATTGCTAAGGAATTTGTTTTAAAAAGCAACAATATTAATAAATATTATACATATACATAGCGAAGTCTTTATGGTTAAATTAGGAAATGCACAGGTGGATGAATAAAACAGAAGGGACATTTTAGAAATAGACTAAATTGAAGTATTGAAGTTTTTTATCTTTTATTTATTTATTCATTTTTTGAGACCAGTCTTGCTCTATTGCCAGATATGCTGGTGCAATCACAGCTCACTACAGCCTCAACCTTCTGGGCTCAAACGATCCTCCCATCTCAGCCTCCTGGAGTATCTGGTACTACAGGTGTGAGCCACAATGCCCAGCTATTTTTTTTTCAGTGGAGACAGGGTCTCCCTGTGTTACCCAGGCTGGTTTTTAATTCCTGGGCTCAAGATATCCTTCTGCCTTGGCCTCCCAAAGTACTGGGATTGCAGGCATGAGCCACCCTGCCTGGCCCCAAAATGAGTTTGGTCATGTATAATAAAGTTGACCAAGAAAATCAGTAGGGATAAGTCAATTTTTTAAAAAAAAATCCTTGGATTAATGCCATTCAGAAGAAACAAATAGAATTGAATTCATATCATTCTTACATTGTATAGAAGTTCCAAATGGATCAGAAATTTAAATAAAAAAAAGTGAAGTCACACAAATACTAGATAGAAATGTGGATGAATTATTTTGTGCCTAGCTATAGTAAAATTTTTCTAATTATGATTCAAAATTGGTAATAAGTAATAAAAGAGTAATATGTTTGATCAAATAAATGTAAACATTGGAATAGAAAAAATGTCAAAAGATAAATGTCAACGTGAGAAAAATATTTGCTACTTATATGACAAAGCATTAATAGCTCTAACAAATAAAAAGCTTCTAACATGAGAAGAAAACATAATCCAGCAACTTAATATGAAAATTGCAAATGACTTTACTGAAGAAATACACAAATGTCCATTAAACAAACAGAAAGATATTTTAAATCACTCATAAAAAGCAAAGAATAAATGAAAGAGCACTGAGATACCATTTCTCACTTTTCAGATAGGAAAACAATAAAGATAAAGTTTCACAATATACCTTGTTGGCAGGAATGTGTTAAGACTAACACATTGTTATTAGAAATGCAGTGTCACAACTCATGGAGGGGATGTTTACAATATTTAGCAAAATTATATCAAACTTTGGATAACACAATCCCTTCTAGGAACTTCTAGAAATCTACCCCAAAGGTACACTGGCAAACCACAAAAAAGAATTTATGTATAATATTTCATAAAATTATTTGTAATAGCAAAATAATAAATAATAACAGTACACTCTACAATGAAACACTATGAGTCTTTAAAACACAATTAGGAAGATCTCTGTTCACTGATATGTACTGATTTCCATCACATACATGCACAACACTGTATATGTTACAGTATGTTTTGTGTAAGAAATGAAGGAGGAGAGCTAGATGGATAGACAGATATACTCTTTATTGCTTATTTTGCAAAAGGACATTAAAAAAAAAAGCTGGCTGGGCATGGTGGCTCATGCCTGTTAATCCCAGCATTTTGGGAGGCCGAGGTGGGTGAATAACTTGAGGTCAGGATTTCAAGACCAGCCAGGCTAACATGGTGAAACCCTATCTCTACTAAAAATACAAAAATTAGCCAGGCATGGTGGTGGGTGCCTGTAATCCCAGCTACTGGGAAGGCTGAGGCAGGAAAATTGCTTGAACCTGGGAGGCGGAGGTTGCAGTGAGCCAAGATCGTGCCACTGCACTCCAGCCTGGGTGACAGAGCAAGACTCCGCCTCAAAAAAAAAAAAAAAAAAAAAAAAAGCTAATAAAAAGTATTACCCATAGGAGAGGAGAGGAAGGGAGGAGGATAAGATAGATTAGGAATATACCCTATTTTTTAGTTAGTGTTTGAAATCATGTGACTGTTTTTTATGATAAAGTAACAAAACCTGGTACAAAATGAAGAATCCCTAAAAATTAAAAACAAGACAAAACAAACATAAATAATTATCAATTTGGTGACGTAACCACTTAGAAAAAAGAATTATTCTTTCTGAGTTTAGAACACAGTGTTTCACTATAAATCATAGCAAGCTACATTAGAAACTTCAGCTGTAGGAAATAGTCTTATTATTAGTGATAATATTAGTATAATTATTTAGACATAATTATATGTATATTGTAAGATAATTTTTAAAAGTTGATATTTTAAGGAGCAATGTTTTTTAGCATTAAAAGTGAAATAAAACCCCTCTAATTATAAGTTTAAATTTGAGTTATCAGTCTGTATAAGTATTGATGATTACAATCTTCATAAAACTTACTTTCTATCTCTGTCCACTAGAAAAAGTATATGCTAAAAACAATAAACTTGCAAACCATGTCTAACATGACCGTGATTTCTAAATACCATTCTGTACCTTAAAACAAAAAGTTACTTACATTAATGATTATTTATAGTTATGGATTAGGAAGTGTATAAGATGAGCCTAGAATGTAAGATGAAAAAGAAAAAAGCCAAAAAGGTTAATAAGGTTGTGTCAAAATAATACAGAGGTAATCTTGAAGTGCTCTGGTCTACATGGGGCAATTTGAATAATACAAATAATAGTAACAACTATATTTGATTAAAATAGTGTATATACAGAAAAAATGATCTCATAATGATACAGGAAAAAAGAGAAATAAAACAAAACTTCTTGGCCACCATTGGAAATTGCTACAACACCAACTCAATACAATGAACATCAATTGCAGAATTTAATAATCACAGGAAAATAATTCTGCATTCATTCTGATATCCATTATGAACAGAATTTGGAGTAATTAAATAAATAGAATGGACAAGGAAAAGTTCTATACAAAATAATTCCACCTAATAAATGCAGAAGAAATGATAAAATTGGAAAAATCATCATTTTCAACCATGATGAACGAACTGATCCAGGCAAGTCATCAATAGATAGTAAAACCATTAGGTGAAAGGTTGATTGGAAATTTTAACTTCATGTAGGCTTGCTGTCCCCTCCTGAACTCACTAACCAATGTAGCATTACTAACATGCATGAGAAAACCAAACAATATGAGCCTAGTGATAAGATGTAATATGAAATAAGCTGCAGCACCTATTCAGTATTAAAACAAAAAGAATCTGAATCAAATCAGGCTGACAGAAAAGTCATGGAATAAAGTGACAAATTAAATGACATGAAGGAAGCAATCTATCAAATGCAGAATATAAGACATTCATCAGACATGTAACGTGGTTTCTAAAAGAAGAATATTTCATGCAAAAATAGCAACAGGTGAGCAAAACAGAAAAGAACAACTGTACTAAATTATTAGACACAAAATGTTAGGAGGAGTTTAGGAGCCAAATATATAGTGAGTATACCTTGTCTAGATCACAGTTTGAATGAATTGACTAGACAAGAGTAATTTTGTTCAATAAGGACTAAAGCACATTATTAATTTTCCAAGGGTGATAATGATATTGGATTATTTCAGAAAAATTCTCCATATTTTTGAGATGTATACTGTTGTATTTATGGGTGAATATACACGGTGCCTAAATTTTGCTTTGAAATATCCCAGTAAGTGGTGAGGGTTCAAGATCACTGATTAGAAGCAGCTCCAGTTGAGAAGAACAAAAATAGCAAGGGAATACTGCACCTTCAGCTGAGGTATCCAGGTTCTCTTGCTGAGACTGACTAGGTGGTTGGCACCACCCATGGAGAGTGAAGAAAAACAAGGTGGAGTGACAGCCCACCCAGAAGCTGCATGGGATAAGGGGAACACCCACCCCCTGCCAAGGGAGGCAGTGACTGATTGTGCTACCCCTCCAGGGAAACCATGCTTTTGCCATGGATGTGTGCAACCCACAGATCAGGAGATCCCCTTGTGGTACCATGCCACCAGGGCTTCAGGTCCCAAGCATAGAACTGTGCAGACTTTTGGTGGTCTCATGGGTTGCAGCCAGGGTCAGGATTCTGGAGACTGCCTAACATAACCAATATCCCAGGGGGAGGAGCAGCTGCCATCACTGTGACTCCAGTTGGCTGACTTGCCCTGCCAGTTCTGGGGAGACTGGGTGATTTGGACCAGAAGGAATTCTCCACAGCGCAGCACAGCGGCTATGGCAGATTCTGGCCAGACCACCTGTTTATGTGGGACCTGTATCCATTCCTTCTCACTGGGTGGGGCCTTCCTGTGGGAATTTCAGTAACTCCAGCCATGGGTTCATGGACAGAACTCTGATCTTTCTGGGACTGAGCCCCTTGAGGGAAGGGGCAGCTGTGGTTTCCAGTTCAGCTGGCTCTGAGGACCCCAGGCAGTTCAAATCAGTGGACTTACCCTCAGTGCAGCATACCCGCCCCTTCAACGGGCAGCCAGACTGATTCTTCAAGTGGGTCTCTGAACTCATGACACTTGACTGGGTGAGACCTCCCAACAGGTATTGCCAGACATCTCATATAGGAGAGTTCCAGCTGGCATCAGGCCGGTGACCCTCTGGGACAGAGCTCCCAGAGGAGGGAGTAGGCAGCCATCGCTGCAGCCTCCACTGGTTATACCATCAGGTGTGGGAGGGACCTGGATGAATAGGGTCTGGAGTGTACCACCAGCAAACAGCAGAAACCCTGTGGAAGATAGGCCTGAGTGTTAGAAAAACAAACAAACAGCAACAACAAGAAGAACATCAACAAAAAAGAGCCTGCAAAAACCCCACCTAAAAATCAGTAGCTTCAAAGATTGAAAGCAGATAAACCCACAAGGATGAGAAAAAAATCAATGCAAAAAATGCTGAAACCTCAAAAAGCCAGAGTGCCTCTTCTCCTCCAAATAATTGCAACACCTCTCCAGCAAGGGCAAAGAACTGGGCTGAGGCTGAAATGGATGAATTGACAGAAGTAGGCTTCAGAAGATTGGTAATAACAAACTTCACTGAGCTAAAGGAGCATGTTCTAACCCAATGCAAAGAAGCTAAGAGCCATGATAAAACATTACAGGAGTTGTTAACCAGAATAACCAGTTTAGAGAGGAACTTAAACGACCTGATGGAGCTGAAAAACACAACATGAGAACTTCACAATGAAAACACAAGTATCAATAGCTGGATAGATCAACTGGAGGAGAGACTCTCAGAGCTTGAAGAGTATCTTGATCAAATAAGACAGGCAAACAAGATTAGTGAAAAAAGAATGAAAAGGAACTAACAAAATCTCTGAGAACTGTGGGATTATGTAAAAAGACTGATTAGGGAACCTGTAACAGATGGGAGAGTGGAACCAAGCTGGAAAACATACTTCAGGCTATCATCCAGGGGAAATTCCCCAACCTAGCAAGAAAGGCTAACATTCAAATTCAGAAAATCCAGAGAACCCCAGTAAGATACTCCAAGATAAATAATATTCAGTTTTCCAAGGTGTAAATGAAGGAAAAAATAAGGGCAGCCACAGAGGAAGGTCAGATTATCTACAAAGGGAAACCCATCAGACTAACAGCAGAACTTTCAGTGGAAACCCTACAATCAAGAAGAAATTGGGGGCCAATATTCAACATTCTTAAAGAAAATAATTTCCAACCCATAATTTCATATCTGGCCAAACTAAGCTTCATAAGTGAAGGAGAAATAAAATCCTTTCCAGACAAGCAAATGCTGAGGGATTCTGTCACCACCAGGCTTGTCTTGCAAGAGCTCCTGAAGGAAGCACTGAAAGTGGAAAGGAAAAACCATTATCAGCCGAGACAAAAACACACTGAAGTCATCCCTCTGGCAAGATGGCCAAATAGGAACAGCTCTGGTCTGCAGCTCCCAGCAAGGACAATGCAGAAGGCGGGTGATTTCTGCATTTCCAACTGAGGTACCCAGTTCATCACACTGGGACTGGTTAGACAGTGGGTGCAGCCCACAGAGGGTGAGCAGAAGCAGGGTGGGGAGTCACCTCACCCAGAAAGTGCAAGGGGTTGGGGACCTCCCTCCCCTAGCCAAGGGAAACCGTGAGGGACTGTGCCATGAGGGATGGTGCTATCCGGGCCAGATACTATGCTTTTCCCATGGTTTTCGCAACCTGCAGACCAGGAGATTCCCTTGAGTGCCTACATCACCAGGGCCTTGGGTTTCAAGCACAAAACTGGGTGGCCGTTTGGGCAGAAACAAAGCTAGCTGCAGGAGTTTTTTTCCATACCCCAATGGCACGTGGAATCCCAGAGAGACAGAACCGTTCACTCCCCTGGAAAGGGGGCTGAAGCCAGGGGGTCAAGTGGTCTTGCTAAATGGGTCCAACCCCTACAGATGACCTGATGGACAGGCAAGCTAAGATCCACTGGTTTGAAATTCTCGCTGCCAGCACAGCAGTCTGAAGTTGACCTGGGATGCTGAAGTTTTGTGCGGGGAGGGGCATCCACCATTGCTGAGGCATGAGTAGGCGGTTTTCCCCTCACAGTGTAAACAAAGCCACCAGGAAGTTTGGACTGGGCCGAGACCACCACAGCATGGCAAAGCTGCTGTAGCCAGATTGCCTCTCTAATTTCCTTCTCTCTGGGCAGGGCATCTCTGAAAGAAAGACAGCAGCCCCAGTCAGGGTCTTATAGACAAAATTTCCATCTCCCTGGGACAGAGCACCTGGGGGAAGGGGCGGCTGTGGGCACAGCTTCAGCAGACTTAAACATTCCTGCCTGCTCTCTCTGAAGAGAGCAGCTGATCTCCCAGCACAGCACTCAAGCTCTGCTAAGGGACAGAATACCTCCTTAAGTGGGACCCTGACCCCGTGCCTCCTGACTGGGAGACATCTCCCAGCAAGGGTCAACAGACATCTCATACAGGAGAGCTCCGGCTGGCATCTGGCACGTGCCCCTCTGGGACAAAGCTTCCAGAGGAAGGAGCAGGCAGCAATATTTGTTCTGCAGTCTCCGTTGGTGATACCCAGGAAACAGGGTCTGGATTGGACCTCCAGCAAACTCCAGCAGACCTGTAGAAGAGAGGCATGACTGTTTGAAGGAAAACTAACAAACAGCAATAATATCAACATCAATGAAAGGGATGCCCATGCAAAACCCCATCCAAAGGTCATCAGCATCAAAGATCAAAGGTAGATAAATCCATGAAGAAGAGGAAAAACTGGTGCAAAAATGCTGACCAGAATGGTTCTTCTCTTCCAAGGAATCACAACTCCTCGCCAGCAAGGGAACAAAACTGGATGTAGAATGAGTTTGACAAATTGACAGAAGTAGGCTTCATAAGGTGGGTAATAACAAACTCCTCTGAGCTAAAAGAGCATATTCTAACCAAATGTGAGGAAGCTGAGAACCTTGATAAAAGATTAAAGGAAATGTTAACTAGAACAACCAGTTTAGAGGAGAACATAAATGACCTGATGGTGTTGAAAGACACAGAACAAGAACTTTGTCAAGCATACACAAGTATTAATAGTCAAATCAATCAAGTGGAAGAAAGGATATCAGAGAGTGAAGATCAAATTAATGAAATAAAGCATAAAGACAAGATTAGAGAAAAAAGAAAGTAAAGGAATGAACAAAGCCTCCAAGAAGTATGGGAGTATGTGAAAAGACCAAACCTGTGATTGATTGGTGTACCTGAAAGTGATGGAGAGAAAGGAACCAAGTTGGAAAACACACTTCAGGTTATTTTCCAGGACAACTTCCCCAACCCAGAAAGACAGACCAACATTCAAATTCAGGAAATAGAGAGAACACCATTAATATACTCCTCAAGAAGAACAACCCCAAGACAAGTAATCATCAGATTCAGCAAGTTTGAAACGAAGGAAAAAATGTTAAAAGTAGCCAGAGAGAAAGGTCAGGTTACCTACAAAGGGAAGCCCATCAGACTAACAGCAGATCTCTCTGCAGAAACCCTATAAGCCAGAAGAGAGTGAGGGCCAATATTCAACATTCTTAAAGAAAAGAATTTTCAACCCAGAATTTCATATCCAGCTAAACTAAGCTTCATAAGCAAAGAAGAAATAAAATCCTTTACAGACAAGCAAATGCTGAAGGATTTTCTCACCATCAGAGCTGCCTTACAAGAGCTCCTGAAGGAAGCACTAAATATGGAGAGGAAAACTTGGTTCCAGCCACTGCAAAAACATACCAAAATTTAAAGACCAATGACACTATGAAGAAACTGCAGCAACTAATGTGCCAAATAACCAGCTAGCATCACGATGACAGGATCAAATTCACAAATAACAATATTAACTTAAATGTAAATGGGCTAAATGACTCAATTAAAAGACAAAGACTGGCAAATTGGATAAAGAGTCAAGACCCATTGGTGTGCTGTATTCAGGAGACCCATCTCATGTACAAAAACGCACATAGGCTTAAAATAAAGGGATGGAGGAAGATCTAACAAGCAAATGGAAAGCAAATAATAATAAATAAATAAATAAATAAAAAGCAGGGGTTGCAATCCTAGTCTCTGATAAAACAGACTTTAAACCAACAAAGATCAAAAAAGACAAAGAAGAGCATTACATAATGGTAGAGGGATCAATGCACCAAGAAGAGCTAACTATCATAAATATATATGCACCAAATACAGGACCACCCAAATTCATGAAGCAAGTTCTTAGAGACTTAGATTCCTACACATTCATAGTGGGAGACTTTAACACCCCACTGTCAATATTAGATCAATGAGAGAGAAAATTAACAAGGATATTCAGGACTTGAACTCAGCTCTGGACCAAGTGGACCTAATAGACATCTACAGAACTCTCCACCCCAAGTCAATAGAATATACATTCTTCTCAGTACCACATAGCACTTATTCTAAAATTGACTACATAATTACAAGTAAAATGCTCCTCAGCAAATGTAAAACAATAGAAATCATAACAAACAGTCTCTCAGACCACAGTGCAATCAAATTAGAACTCAGGATTAAGAAACTCACTCAAAACCACTCAACTACATGGAAACTGAACAATCTGCTCCTGGATGACTACTGAGTAAATAATGAAATTAAAGCAGAAATAAATAAGTTCTTTGAAACCAATAAGAAAAAAGATACAATGTACCAGAATCTCTGGGACACATTTAAAGCAGTGCTTAGAGGGAAATTTATAGCACTAAATGCCCACAGGAGAAAGCGGGAAAAATCTAAAATCGGCACCCTAACATCACAATTAAAAGAACTAGAGAAGCAAGAGCAAACAAATTCAAAAGCTAGCAGAAGACAAGAAATAACTAAGATCAGAGCAAAACTGAAGGAGATAGAGACACGAAAAACTCTTCAAAAAATCAATGAATCCAGGAGCTGGTTTTTTGAAAGATTAACAAAATAGATAGACTGCTAGCCAGACTAATAAAGAAGAAAAGAGAGAAGAATCAAATGGACACAACAAAAAATGATAAAGGGGATATCACCACTGATCCCACAGAAATACAAACTACCATCAGAGAATACTGTAAACACCTCTATGCAAATAAACTACCAAATCTAGAAGAAATTGATAAATTCCTGGACACATACACCCTCCCAAGCTAAACCAGGAAGAAGCTGATTCCCTGAATAGACCAACAACAAGTTCTGAAGTTGATGTAGACTCCCATACAATAATCGTGGGATACTTTAATAACCCACTGTTAATATTAGACAGATCATTGAAACAGAAAATTAAGAAGGATATTAAGGACTTGAACTCAGCCCTGGATCAAGTAGGCCTGATAGGTATCTACAGAACTCACTACCCTGAAACAACAGAATATACATTCTTCTTGGCACCACATGGAACTTATTCTAAAATCGATTACATAATTGGAAGTAAAACACTCCTCAGCAAATGCAAAAAAACTGAAATTATAACAGTCCCTCAGACCACAGTGCAACTAAACTGAAACTCAAGCTTAAGGAACTCATTCAAAACCATACAGCTACATGGAAATTGAACAACTTGCTCTTGAATGACTCCTGGGTAAGTAATGAAATTAAGGCAGAAATCAAGAAGTTCTTTGAAACTAATGAGAACAAAGAGACAGCATACCAGAATCTCTGGCACATAGCTAAAGCAGTGTTCAGAGGGAAATTCATAGCACTAAATGCTTACAGCAAAATCTAGAGAAATCTCAAATTGACATTCTAACATCACAACTAAAAGAACTAGAGAACCAAGAGCAAACAAACCCCAAAGCTACCAGAAGACAAGAAATAACCAAGATCAGAGTGGAACTGATGAAGATAGAGACATGAAATGCCCTTCCAAAAACAACAAATCCAGTTGCTGTTTTTTTGAAAAAAAAAAAAAAAAAATCAGATAGATAGACCTCTAACTAGACTGATCAAGAAGAAAAAAGACTCAAATAGACACAATAAAAAATGATAAAGCAGATATCACCACTGACCCGACAGAAATAAAAACAACCACCAGAGAATACTGTAAACAACTCTATGCAAATAAACTAGAAAATCAAGAAGAAAAGGATAAATTCCTGGACACATACATACTCAAAAAACTGAACTAGGAAGAAGTTGAATCCCCAAATAGACGAATAATGAGTTCTGAAATTGAGGCAGTAATAAATAGCCAACCAAAAAAGCCCAGGACCAGACGAATTTATAGCTGAATACTTCCAGAGGCACAAAGAGGATCTGGTACCATTTCTTCTGAAACTATTCCAAACAATTAAAAAGGAGGGACTTCTCCCTAATTAACATTATGAGGACAGCATGATCCTGATACCAAAACCTGGCAGAAATACAACAAAAAAGAAAACTTCAGGTCAATATCCCTGAGGAACATCAATGCGAAAATCCTCAATAAAGTAGTGGCAAACTGAATCCAGCAGCACATCAAAAAGCTTATTCACCACAATCAAGTCAGCTTCATCCCTGGGATACAAGGCTGGTTCAACATACATAAATCAATAAAGGTAATTCATCACATAAGCAGAACTAAAGACAAAAATCACATGATTATCTCAATAGATGCAGAAAAGGCTTTTGGTAAAATTCAACATTCCCTCATGTTAAAAACTCTCAATAAACTAGGTATTGAAGAAACATATCTCAAAATAATAAGACCCATTTATGACAAACCCACAGCCAATATCATACTGAATGAGCAAAAGCTGGAAGCATTCCCCTTGAAAACTGGTACAAGACAAGGATGCCCTCTCTCACCACTCCTATTCAACATAGTACTGGGAGTTCCGACCAGGGAAATCAGGCAAGAGAGAGAAATAAAGTGTACTCAAATAGGAAGAGTGGAAGTCAGATTGTCTCTATTTGTAGATGATGTGATCCTATATCTAGAAAACCTCATCGTCTCAGCCCAAAAATTTCTTAAGCTGATAAGCAACTTCAGCAAAGTCTCAGGATACAAAATCAACGTGCAAAAATCACAAGCATCCCTATACACAAACAACAGACGGGCAGAGAGCCAAATCTTGAATAAACTCCCATTCTCAATTGCTACAAAGAGAATAAAATGCCCAGGAATACAGCTAACAAGAGAAGTAAAGGACCTCTTCAAGAAAAACTATAAACCACAGCTCAAGGAAATTAGAGAGAACAAGGAATTAGAAATTCTTGTGAAAATGGTCATACTGCCCAAAGTAACTTATAGACTCAATGCTATTTCCATCAAATTACCTTTGACATTCTTCACAGAATTAGAAAAACAATTTTAAAATTCATATTGAACCAAAAAGAGCCCATATAGCCAAGGCAATTCCAACCAAAAAGAATAAAGCTGGAGACATCACACTACAAAGAATACAGCTGGAGGCATCATGCTACCTGACTTCAAGCTATACTACAAGGCTACAGTAACCAAAATAGAATGGTACTGGTACTAAAACAGACACAGTCTAATACAACAGAAAAGAGAATTCAGAAATAAAACTGCACATCTACAACCATCTGATCTTTGACAATCTGACAAAAACAAGCAATGGGGAATGGATCTCATATTTAATAAATAGTGCTGGGAGAACTGGCTAACCATATGCAGCACATTGAAACTGGACCCCTTCCTTACACCTTATCTAAAAATTAACTCGAGATAGATTAAAGACTTATTTGTAAAACCCAAAACTGTAAAAACTCTGGAAGAAAATCTAGGCAATATCATTCAGGACATAGGCATGGGCAAAGATTTCATGATAAAAATGTCAAAAGTAATTGTAACAAAAGCAAAAATTGACAAATGGGATCTAATTAAACTAAAGAGCTTCTGCACAGCAAAAGAAACTATCATCTGAGTGAACAGACAACCTACAGAATGGGAGAAAATTTTTGCAATCTATCTATTTGACAAAGGTCTAATATCCAGAGTCTACAAGGAACTTAATAATAGCAAAACTTAACCTCTTACCAGCTTTAAAAACTACCAACTATTTACTATATTTATTTTAGCTATTTCTTCCTCTAGTTTTTAATGTATTATGGCAAATTTCAAACATACAAACAATGTTCTAACTAATGTTGGCATGTTTGGATATTTTTGTCATAATTTTAATTGCTCTGTAAACATCTAACAAATTATATAGATAACCTTGGGATCATTTTGAAGTGTTTAATTTTTTATCTGTTATCTCCTAAATATATTGGAATAAATTAAGCAAAGCAGTTCCAGAAACATTTTTCTACCAGGTATGCTTACTAGGCTGAGAAATGAAGGCAGGCCCCTCAACCACCATTTTATAAGTAATTTAAAATGAGACTATCAGAAACACTTGAAATAACATGCCAAGAACAAATCCCTATGAGAAAAGCAGTGTGTTGTGATGAGGGTATTACATAGAAATTATACTTTCATAATTTTATTATTTTTGTAGAAAATTTCTCCCAAGTTTTCACATTACCACATTGAAATGCCAGAAGATTTGCCTCTCAGCATGCAGACTCATAGAAACACAGTATAGAACTTGATAATTTCTCCTGAAAATGCTTACTGCTGAGACACCAAATGACTGAAGTGGTTTGTTAATCATGTTCAGCTTTCATGACTTAGAAAATCATTTTCTTCCCTCCACCTTCCTCATCAAATATATATATAGACACACACACAAATATATATAGAATATATATATAGAATATCCTAGAATATTCTAGTTTTTATCCTAAGATGAAAATGCAATGAAGTATGTTGCAGTTATTTATTTTGTGTTTCTAAATGTATATATATATATACACACAGATATATATATATATATATAAAGTAGCGATCAGCACATTAAAGTATGTAAAATTTCATAATTTTATGTTTAAAGATGACAAAACAATGTCAATTATGGATTTCCTTGGGGCATTTTAGTTTGTAAGTTAGTAGTTTAGAGTTGTGACACCATTTAGGAAACATACTCGGACGGCTATTTTGTTCATATAATGATTACATTGCCAGGCTCTTTCAGCTTTTGCATCATATGGAGATAGCTAGGATTGTTCTATAAGAATCTCAGTGAGAGTACAATATAGCAAGTTGCTCCGGGGAACAAACGTATCTTATTAGAAGATATGTTGGATTCAGTTTGCGACTACTTTATTGAGGATTTTCGCATTGATGTTCATCAGGGATATTGACCTGAAGTTTTCTTTTTTGTTGTATCTCTGCCAGGTTTTGGTATCAGGATCATGCTGTCCTCATAATGTTAAGAAACATATCTTATTAGACTTTTTATCCCTTAAAAAATAATAAGTTTAGGACTTCAGTATTAGTAGTAGTAGAAATTAATAGCTAGCATTTATTGAGCTCTTACTGTACTAAGACATTCACATGTATAACTTCATGTAAAACAGTAATCTTATAAACTAAGTACTATTATTACCCTTTGTACATCATATAGTATTTGGAACATCACTGGTGGTGAAAATTTGTGAATAAATTAATGAATATGTTGATGAAATAATCATCTCCAGAAAGTTTTTGGAAAATATTTTGTCTTTCCTAAGTAACTTATTTTATCAATTGCCTGCCTTAGAAGCATATGCTTCTAAATTCATAGCCTAGAATATCCTAGAATATTCTTATTTTTATCCTAGGATGAAAATGCAATGAAGTATGTTGCAGTTATTTATTTTGCGTTTCTAAATGTAAAATCACAACTGAGTTGAGTGACACACAATTGATTATTATGTTGGTAACTTGCAAATCTTTGCATTGTTTTTGCGGTCTTATTCTCAAAATCACGACATTCTTGTTACCTAAAGTGATGACAATGAAATCTACTGCCCTGTTTTTTTTCTATGTTCTCTTTCCTTTCTCTGTGGACTTAGGAATTTTGGATTCAAACCTCCGATTATTCTGAAATTGATAAGGAGAAAGCTCTGTTGTAGGAACCATATTGCCTTGATCTGTAATTGAATCTCTCTCAGAATTTTGTGATAAAATTGATCCAGCCCAATTAAGTCAGGCAGATACTGCTTCTCTATTGTCTGCCTTTGAGGCCTCTATTCAAGCTTATCATTTCCATCGATGTTATTCCAGCTTGTGTAACAAATTTTTTTTGTGTGTGACAGATATAAGGCTTAAATTCTTTTTCAAATACTGCTGAACAAATATAAGTATAGTATATATATATATATATATATATATATATATATCACATTACCTTTTTTCTAGTTACAAAAATGACACTTGCTCATTGTAAAAACTTAAACTTATAAAACTCATATTAATACATTTAAAATCACTAGGAATTTTGCAACTTATCAATAATTTGTATTACTGTTTGTGTGTAAATCCTATCTTTTTCCTTTGTGTTTGTATTTATGATTACATTGATATACTATTGCACTGCACATGTTATTTTTGTTTTTTTGTTTTAACACCATGAACATTTTCTGTTCTCAATGAGTATTATTGTTCAACATGGTATTTAGTGATTGTATAGTATGATACTCTTTGGGTGTATAATCCAATCTCATTGTTGAATATTTAGGGTTTTTCACCATTTTCCTTTTTAAAATAACACTGATCAACATCCTTCTATATAAATTTCTTTTTTTGGAAGTAATTTTATGGTCAAAATATGAGAAACATGTTCAAACTTTTGTATAAACACCTTCAGAAACACTGTTTAAAAAATAGTGCATTAGTAATATTACATTTCTTTACCAACATTTTATATATATGGACAGCTTCAGGTGTCTGGATTTTTGTTTAGATTGGAGATTTTACTCCTTGTATTTCACCCTTTCTAAAAGAAATTTCTGTTCTTGTCTTTCTCATACACTCTCAATTCCATTATTTCTAGCGTAATTCTCTCTAGAAATAAACACTTCCCTTTTCCAAGTTATCTTGTGACTTGTTAAAAATTATCATTCTTCCATCTCTACCTTCTTACTCCACTTATGTAGCAGAATTTTGCTGTTAGTAAGCAGGATGCTTAACACCATTCCAAGGAAAATACTCTCTATTCAGGTATTTCCTTGGACAAACTTAAAATAAATCCTGAACTTGCTAATGTAAACATCTCTCTATGTTATGCATTTCTTGCTTTGTAGCCAAAATTAATTTTTTTGTTTTACATTTTTCTAGGAAAAGTCAAGACTACAAAGTAGGAATCTCTAGTTCTATGATCTTCATAGCAAACAATATTTTGACAAAGCCACTAATTGAAGACTCTTAAGGCTGGAAGTCTGCAAACAAATTGCAGTCAACAGCCTGTTACTTCCTTAAGCTTATGCTGTGAATGTATATGAACGAATTTATATAAATCATATTGTTTAGGATTATTAATCATTTGACCAAAATGCTCTAGGCCAAGTTACTCCAGCAATAAATTTCACAAATTGGTTCACTTAATGATTCAACAGATTCAGCCAGTGATTGTTAAGACCTTATGATGAATTGAATGCTAGACTTAGCATCTTCACACAAAATATTCTCACAACATTCTAATATGTTGTGACAGACAATACTGTATCCAATTTACAGATGAGAAAATGGAACCTCAATGAGCTTACGTATTTTGCCAATGTGACAATTAAAAACGATAAAGCTAGGATTTGAGCATAGGTCTTCCAACTTTAAAGTTACTACTCTTTTTATTTCCCTTCACACAAATTATTTTATTCATTTGTGGTTTATTTTCAAGAAACATGTACTAAATTTTAACTTGTTGCAGACCATGTATTTAGTACTGGGAAATGATAATAAGATAAATAAGTAAATAAATATGTAGTAAAATAACATGAGTTATAACTTTTTGGAGCTGTCTAATGGATGGGGCAAATTACTAATCAAAATATAACACAAATATTCCTTAGAAAGAAGGAAAATGATACACATCAGAAATGCATATCTTTATAAAGAAAGGAAGGGCATCATAGCAGGATTATTGAAGGTAAAATAAAAGTTTTTTATCTTAATGATCTAACAGACAACAGTTTGTTCAAAACAGTAATAATTGCAACAATGTAGTTTATGATATGCATATGCTTATGTAGGCTTACCTATAAGTGAAATAAATGATAGCCAAGATGCAAGAGATGGGAGTGAGGAATTAGGAATATTTTGTTATTAGAAGGTACTTGTAGTACCTGTGAGGCAGTATAGTGTTATTTGAAAGTGGACTTGAATTAGTAGTAAATATATATGACAATGCTAGGACAACCACTAAAATGATATTCTTAAAGTTTAATTGATTCACAGCGAGGAGAGAGATTGAAATAATACAAAATGCTCAGTTAAAACCACAAAAGGCAGAAAATGAATGAAAGACTAAAATAGGAACAAAGAACAAGACAACAAATAGAATACAGTAACAAATACAGGAGTTATTAATCCAAATGTATCAATAATTATTTTTGAAACCATGCAAGTTTTAAAAAGTTTACTTATGAAAGAATGAGTACCATCATTATGGAAGTGTAAACCAAGAAGGAAGAAGAACATGGTATCCACAAACAGGGATTTCAGCACAAGAAAGAAGGGAAATGAATTCCAAGTTTGATAGTGAAGGGAGATCCAAGTCATCTGGGTGGCTGACTGAGAAAAAGATGTTTGCAGGTATTTTCAAAAGGATGTTTTTCCGAAAGTATAGGCATTCTGGCAATTATGAGGAGATAAAAAATTCTTATGTTGAATTATTGGTATCAACTTTAAATCCTTGAAAATTGAAAATTAATATGATAGCTAGCATTATTTAACACCTATATAGTGCTTATTAAATGCTTAGCACTGTTTCAAGTGCTTTACATATATTAATTTATTTAAACCTCCTTTAATCCTATAACATAGATATCAGTTTTAACTTGGAGACATTAGATTGACAGGACAAATTCCCAGCTGCCTGGTGGTAGAACCAGGATTTAAACTCAGGAAGTCCATTTTCAGAATCTGTGTTCTGAACCACTATGTATCTGCCACTCATCCAATAACAGATTGTACTGAAATTTTCCCTATTATGAGAATTTAGTCTAAAGGATTTTTCTTTCTAATTCTGGACTACCTAGTGGGTCTGAAAGTTAAGGTTGTGACTTTCTGCCCTACCCTTAAGAAAAATGTAAAAATTTAGTCTTCTCATTTGGTTTCAGCAGAAATGTTATATACATATATAACATTTTATGTTATATATGTTATTATATATAATATATAAATATATAATATATATATTTAATAAAATTCATCATAAGGTCATAAATATATATTTAATTAAATTATATAAATAATATAATTTCTATAATATACTCAATACACTCAGTTCATCATAAGGTCATAAATATATATTTAATTATATAAAAATATAATTTCTATAATATAAATTTCTGCTAATGTTTTATATCTATGAATAAATATATATTTTATGGTATTCCATTATATATAATTCTCTATATCATATATGTTATGAATATATAATATATATTTATATTTATATATTATATATTTGTATTAAATATACATTTATATAAAATACATATTTATATCAATCTATATCTATCAATCTATCTATATATATATTGCCACCAATGTTAAAAAGAGGGAAATTTAGTAAGTGCAGCTGAATTCCAGGCATGGTTTCACAAGATAGCAGGATGTTATACTGCTCCCTGTCTAACACTGCATTTCAATTTTAAGCATTTAAGAATCTCTATTACAGATCAAGCAGTTGTTAGGACAAAGCCATTCTATACTTTGCTGTTAGGGTTCAAGCTATATTTGCTTTATGCAGGAGTCCACAGGCCAGTGTTAAAGCCCTGGTATAATAAATGTCTTTATCTGTAGTTCAAATTAGTTGGGAGAGCACTTTATCTAATAAAAAAACCGAACTTGAAAGCTGCGTACATCTCTAACTGGCTCTGTCAATTTATGAGACGGTTTACCAACACTTCTATGCCTCTAGGGAGTATAAATGGGTGTAATAATAATACTCTACCCAAAGGTTACTTTATGGCTTTCATGAAGCTCAATACACATTGATGGATTATGAAGTATTTAACAAATCACATGAGTAAGTGAATACTATTTTGGGGGGTGTGAAAAATGCTGAGAAATAATGTAGCAGACAAAAAAATTATCATAAGGATTTTTCTTGCCCTGATGAAATTCACATTTTGATGAGGATGACAGATTAATAAAACACAATTGCAAAGCGACTTGAGAATTGCTAAAATAAAGGTAAGTGCCAGCATCTATGAGGACGTAGACTCTATGTTTCCTTAGTCTACTGATATTCCGTTCACTCTCCTAGTTACCACTTTCACCATCTTCTCTTCTCAAATTCCCAATACCTGCCAGCCCTCCCCCTCTGGCAGCTGATAAATTGCTTTATAATTCACTTTAAAACAAAAATATCACCATATCACATCATCTACAGCATCTGCATCCATGTGCTCAGTAATTCCCTCCACTTTTATCAATGAACTACCTAGGACTAAATTTAAAGCCAGTCCTCGGCATGGACACTAGATCTCATCCTTTCTCACATCAAAGAACACATTATTCTAGTAGCTTTCATCCATCTCTTTCCTACATTACCACTTTTCCCTCTCTATTGGGTCATTCTTGGAAGCATAAAGCTTCCTGTTACTTCTCCACTTCTCTCCCCTTGCTTACAAACAGCACCCTTTGTTGAAGCACTTTACCAAACAGCCTGATTTCTTTGCAACAAGAGTCCTCAAAAGAGTTATCTATATTTACTTTTTCTGATGCCTCTCTCTTTATTGTTTCCTCAACAAGCTCCAAGCAGGCTCTGGTCCCTAACCATTCCACTGAAACCACACTCGTCACTATTGACCTTGCTTTGCTGAATCCAATGGGTTATCGGTAGGTCTTTTTTTGCTGGAGCTATCCACAGCATTTGGCATAACCTGACCCTTTTTTCTAAAAACTCTTCACTTGACTTCCAGGTTGGTTTCATTTTCTCTTTCTCACTTTTCTTGGCCCACTCCTCCTCATCTCTTGTATCTTAATTTTGGACCCCTCTCCCCTCCCTCTGCCTTTAGTACTTGCTCCCCTTCAGTTCTCTATGAAAGCTTATATCCACATCCTATTGTCTCATCCTGACTCACAGTTATGCCTATCATATGTATATCATAACTTCCAAATCTATATCTCCACTCAGGACCTCTCAGTTGACCTCTGGCACAGAAACACATTTATTTTAAAGCTAAGGAAGCTTAAGCTTTGGCTCCTCACTTGCATGAATCCCTCTCAGGGATCTGGGTAGCAGCCTAGCAATACGATTTTATAGGCAACCATTTTTGTAAAATATACAAAAGAATTTATGCAATGGCAATTTGTCAGGATACTGAGTATCCTTCTCTCTATCCTTTCCCCTTGTTCTTTGGCATTGGAATGACCATTGGCATTTTGGGGATATAGGCAATGTGATATTGAACTAGCAATGGGCCTCTGTCATCATGCAGGTTGCCTTTTGTGCATGTGTGACACAGACCTGTTGCAGTACTATAACTAGCAAGTATATCTGTTTGTGCATGGGAGTGTGGAGGAAAGTAGAAAAAAGAGGCAGAATGTAGACATCATATATTCACAAAAAATAAGCTGAAAAGACTGTTTCAGTAACATATTATGAAGGAGTTTTTTGCCAGCTTGAAACAAATAAAAAATAATGGGCTAGAAAGTTACCAGAAAATTTAGTAATTTGCTACCCACTGAGCGTTTTTATTAGTGCTATAGCAATAGAGGGGCTTTGTATTTCTGGAATGCAACTATCCTTCTATAACAGTTAAATATCTATGAACACATCGAATTTGAGAGAATTCAAAGGCTTATCTTATACATAAAAATGCTCAGTATCTGATGAGAAGATATAATACATTCAAACTATTCATGATATATTTATCAATTTATTCAATTGTTAAAAAACTATTAATTGCACACCCACTATGTTCAAAGTGCCATGAATATATGATGGTGTGTCCACACACGTCTGCCACAGAGTTTATAATCCAGTTAAGATGACACAATGTAAAATAGAAGTAATACAAGGTAATATATAAAAGTAGTTACATCTCAAATTTAGGCCCATATATGGCAATAAAGCAAAAAGACTCTGGGATAAAGTGAATTAAATTGCTTAACTGTAGGTGGGGAGCTGAAGAGAGGGAGAGTAGTGGGAGGCTTATTAATAAGGCAGTTAGGGCAAGAACACACAGGACCTTTTTATTTTTTTTGAATAAATGAGTCTTCCTTAATAGTCATATAAAAACATATAAAATATATTTTTTATTAAAATAAAAACACTTTCAAAAATTAGGTCACCAAACAAGTTATCTATCTAAACTAAGTTTTCTGTTTCTGAAAGCAGTTTGCTTTAAATATCGAGAAGTGTTAAGAATATCAATATATCTGTTTTAAGAATAAACAAAAATAATAATTAAAAATCACATGCTGTAAAGAGAGTTTTTCCTTTACTTTCTATTGGAAAAGAAAAGGATGTATGAATGTTCTCAAGATGGTAAGAGTCTTCCATTGGAAAAGAGAGTGAGGGTTTTGTTAGGGTGTATCTTCTATGAAAAAAATTAAAAGATCAGCAATTGAATTCATATCACATTTTTTCACTAACATTCAATTATTACTCATTCCTCTGTCCTGTCCTTGAGTAAAGAATTAAAGCTATAATCCCCACAGTGTCTATTAATAGGAGTCCAAAAATGATTCAAATATAAATCCAGGTAAATACTGATATTTTTGTGTCAGTGTTTTGTGGAAGATTACTCTGTCAAATGTGTCAGGTTGAAACTAGAGGCAAAGAGAGAAGGAAAGTTTTGATGTAATTCTTGGGAAAAATAATAAAAACCCAACAAAAAAAGATGGTTGTTTGAAAAACAATTAATATTTGTTAGAACCTTCTTATGTACAAGGGAAGTCTAAGTGAATTGGAAATATATAATTTAGTCAAGGTTGAATAAATTTATCAGAGCTGAGATTTGAAACCTAGCAATTTGGTTTCAGAGTATGCATTGTTAATCAATGAATTGAAATACTTCCAATAGGGAATGGATTAAAAGTTGCTGTTGTGTTTTTTATAGAATTATTGTTAAAGTAAAATAAACTGAATATGATGATTAGAAATTTGAGCTGAAAATCCTGGTGAACTGGCACAGTCATTGGCTGTCTTAGTTCTGGCTGTTATGACAAATTCCATAGACCAGGTGACTTAAACAACACACATTTATTTCTCACAGTTCTGGAGGCTGAAATGCTGGCAGATCTGGTATCTGGTGAGGGCACTCTTCCCTGTTTGTAGATGGCCATTTTCTTACAGTATCCTCACATGACTGAGAGCAGAGAGTGACAGCAAACTCTAGTGTTTCTTCATTAAAGGGCACTAATCCCATCCACGAGGGCTCCACTCTCATGACCTAATTACCTCCTGAAGGCTAGCTCTTAATAACATAACATTGGGTGTTAAGATTTCAACATGTGGATTTGGGGGTGGAGGATACAAGCATTCAGTCCATAACTTTGGTTTCAGAGCCTAAGAGGCATTAGTTTGAATTCTGTTTCTACTATTTGATATCTTAACAGACTTGTCCAAACTATTTAATTTCTCTGATTCTCAGTCTCATCATCTGTAAAACCGAAACAATAATACTGACTTTGTAGGGACTAAATGTGTGTGTGTGTGGAGAGGTAGAGTGCCTATTATAATATTAGCCTATGTATATTAATAAATTTATATGGCAAATGGTAATGCAGCTGATTTGAATTTCTAAGCCTGGGTATAAGGGTATATTATAGTACAATTGTAGAATATACAAGGTTAGAAAAGAAAATGTATTGAGAGGGAGTTGTTGAGACTTTCATAGATATTAAACATGATTTATTATGTCACTTGTTTTAATTTTGAATAAAATTCTTCTGTATGTGGAAGAAAGAGGAAAGAAAATAAAGAAAACAAAGAGAGACATCGATCAGAGTAAAATCCAAATAATAATTTTAAATCACACTCCAATCCGTTCTTTCACCTTAAAATGTTAGGTCCTGGGAAGGATGGGAAGTATTTGTAAAGATAGAGAGCATTCATTGACATTGAAAGAAGTAAAAGGAATATATCTGATAAAGTAGAAGGAAGAAATAGCACTCTTTGAAATAAATGATATCCAATTCCTCTTCACTTGTTGGGATGGCTGAATACTATTGAGCCCTGCATATCTCCCACCCCATGGATGATTTGTTAGGCTGAATGACGTGTCAAGCTATGTAGTCAGTTTTCAGGCATTTGCATATACTTTACTAATAGATATTAAAAATGCTCTGTGGATGATTGAAAAAAAAGGAAGGATAAAAGGAGTCATCAGTGGACATGCTAATAACAAAAGATTTGGTTCATGAGGGGAAATAAGAAGGAGATAAGGGGAATAAGATACAATCTCTAGAACAACTCCCTTGGAAAACAGAAAATAGTAATTAAAAAAAAATAAACTTGAAGAGGAAAATCATACTGTGAGATAGAAAAGCAGAAAATATTTCCATCTTGTTGAACCAGTAATGTAAGTGGAAATGCTAGTTGGGGAAGGATATTCCAAATGAAGGAGACAAGAACTGAATACAGACTTCTCCAAAAAGTGTCTTGTTTTTATGTTTGACTTTGAAAACATAATGAAAAAACAACATATATAATTACAAACCAACAGCAAAACAAAATGAGACAAATAAAGCATTTCATAAAAAATTAAAAGCAAAATGAAGCAAATAAAGCTAATATTGTATGCAGTTGGTAGCTTAAATGCATTAGAGAAATTATTTGAAAAGAAATTAAAAATAAGTAATTGACTATACGTCCTTCACAAGATTTATATTCTAAGATCAAATATATTTTTAAAAACTCTTATAAATCTGTTTTCATAATCATGTTAATATTAATATCATTACAACATTAGCATGTTGGTTTTACAAGTATATGTGCATATGCACACACACACATATGGTAAGAAATCATGTTGATATCATTAGTGTGTTAGTTTCTTACTGCAACAAATTACCTGAAATTTAGGGGTTTAAAAGCACAAAAACGTATTGTCTTATAGTTCTAGAAGTCAGAAATCTAAATTGGGTCCGTGGGGCTCCGGAGGCTCGAGAACAGAATCTCTTTCCTTGCCTTTTCCAGCTCAAGAGGCTATCTACTTTCTTTGGCTCATGGCCACATTAATATTGTGCTCTGTAAATATTATTTTCCACTGAAAGAACTAAAGCTTCTTAGAGAAATGGTTGATTCCAGCTCTAGGACAAGAAATAAACAAGACAAGTTTTGCCTCACCAGAAAGAAAAACAAAACAAAACAAAACAAAAAACAACTGGTATGTCAAAAGAAGACAGGAACTAACTTGAAGAGTCTTCCACTTGCCAAATATAGTACAGTTTAAACATCAATAAAAATAACAACTGCAGTGGATTGAAAGTTACCAAAATATGTTAAAGATCTCTGAGTTCATAATACTAAAAAAAGAACTCTTATTGGTCATTTATGTAGGGTAGGAAGGAATCAACAAATTTTTCTAGAAACTGGTAAACAGAGAAAAGATCAAGCATTTATCCTGCCTTTTCCAGCACAAATGTCCTTTAGGGTAACCAAAAAACTGAAAGAATTCTTTCATATGTAAAAATTGCAGCTGATAAAGGAAAGGGATATAACAGAATTAAATTCACTATTTTACCACTCAATGAAATAGAGGATTTAAGAAATGATAATCAATAGGCTGTTAAAAACATTAGATGAAAAGCTGTTGGGAAACTTTATGTTAGACATATCAGAAATTTGAATCCAATAATCAATAATCAGAAAGAGAGAAAATCAGACAATATTATAATTATTCTGAAGCAACTTTGACAATATCAGGAGCCTGAATCTGATCAAGGTTATAGATTCCACTAATAGCTTAAGGGAACACAGAAGATAATCATATTAGAAACACAACATGGGATCTCCTCTACCCAGTTTTTATGTGAGCAAGGCTGAACAGGACCTGGACTTCAAATGTGTGCATGTGACTTAGATTCAGTTAGTAAGAGTCACAGTGATGGTTCAGAGGTAGGATTATGTGCAGAGCAAAAATAACAAGAGGACTTTTCCTGAAACTGTTAGAAAAGAGATGCTTCTTTCCCAGAGTTTGGTAAAAGGTAAAACAAAATAAAAAGTGAAAAAGATTGATAAAAGCATACTTGAGTTGCTTGTGCCTTTCTTTGCCACAAATGGAAAAATACCTGCCTGAAACTGAAGCCATAACAAATTGCAGCAGAACCAAGAAAAAGAGATAGAAACATGAGCCTCTTTTGGAACACCTGGACGTATATGTGCATGAAGCCAAAATGCCACTGGAATTTTTTATCACTATAAGCAATACAGTTCTTTCTCACACACACACTTTCTCTCGCTCTTTCTCTTTCAATTCAAGTTTGAGTTGGGTTTCTCTCACTTACTATGTGCCAGGCAGTCTGATGGATGATATACACATACATTTTTAGAGGCCACAGTGAAGGCGTCAGCAACATTTGTTTTTACAACAGAAGTCCCCACAATAAGAGAACCCAGCCAGGCATATAATAACCTGGCTTTAGTCTTGGAAAGACATTTTGAAAAATTGTCATTACTCCATTAAATATACTATTAAGAACTCTGTGAAAATCAGTGGAAGTTAATTCATGTCCTTGGTAGTCATATCAAAGAGAAAATAGAAGAAATATTGAACTAGAACAGAGTCCATCATCCACCCAGAACAGTAATGGTTTATTCTACATTTTGGGTAATGGCCACCCAAATGGCACTTGAATTATTTTGGTCATGGGACATTCCCTACTTTTTTGAGGTGGTTTTAGCCTATGGAAGAAATGGGTAAATATTTTGATTATATTTGTGTTTTCAAGCATCCCACAAAAAGTTTTCCAGTCTTCATATCTATGTATAGATATTCAGGATCTGGGAAGGCTTGGGAATGAAATAATAAGGTACTATCAAGCCAGAATATACAAGGCTACTGAAGTTGACCTAAAACACCTGAGTTGGGTATGAATAATACAAGTAAATAAGAGTTGTTTGAGAATCAAAGACAGGGAGTAGTATACAGTTTGAAACTTCCTCCTTATCCAGCACTATTTTTATTGGATGACATGCCAATGAAGTAACATTTAACCATGGTATGTTTAACATGCCATTTACCCTCTGACTTGAAGGTTCTTGTATTCCAGCTATCAGTTAAAGATAAGAGTTTGTTTTTCCCCTTACTAACTGTGCTTAGGTTAGATTTCTTTTATCTTAGACATATGAAGTTAATTCTATCAGTCCATGCCTGGAGCTTTATATCTACCCCTCGTGACTTCCATAACTGAACAATAGAAATCCTTTTCTTTCTTATCTTTTCAACTAATATACATTGTATCGCTTCAGGTTTTATGTTTTTCAGAAAATTGATAAACATGTATTCCATGTTTTATATTCAGGTACAACATTAATTAATGTCAGGGATATGTAGGAACAAGAATGTTTCTATGAGAAAACACAAAAACATAACTAAGTTTTCATGAATCCACTAATTAACCCTTTTGGAATGGCTATTTCAGTAATTCTAAATAAATTTAACAGAATTTCTACTCTGCAATGTTTCTCCACCTTGACCACAGAATAACATGATAGGCCTTGTCAAATTCTTGGAGAAAATGAATACACTCTATATTTAGGATTCTCCCGACATACCCATGTCAGGAAATGAGGTTAGTTTTACATCACTTATTCTGGAGGAACCCTTACTATCTTCTGATATTTCAATGGAATAGACATTTATTATTGTGTCATAATTAAATCACCCATTTGAAAATTATCTAGAATGGATGTTATATTTACTTGTCTACATTTTCCAGATATATTTTTCATATACTTTATGTTTGTTTTTAAAAATTTAGATTTTTTAATCTCTAAAAGTTATCTTTTATATCCAGTTCTTGAATATTATCTATCAGTAATATACTATTATATATATCTTTCAATAGTTTTATTGTATATAATTTGCTTAAGTCTAGATACTGATTTCATATGGCTATACACCTCATTTCTTACATACCCATCTAGGATATTATCATGCTCTTAATCATTTTTTCTTATATTCTCATTGAGGTAATTTTCTTATGGGAAGATATCAAAACCAATGGTGAGTTAAACAGCTATCTATCAGTAAAGCATCCATCATACGTAGTAGAAGTGTAGGAAAAGCAAGGTATCTGAAGGCCCAGAGGAAAAATGAGTTGCCAGTACTGAGACTTTAGGTCACATGGTAATAACACAGAGCAGTTATAAGAATGATTTTTTGGAGAGTTTTCAAATGATTGTCGATTTTACTCAAATGGAGTCATATCATATGTCCTTCTCTGTACCTTGTTTTCTCACTTAAAATCCTATCCCTGTAATCCCTATGGCTGAACTGCGTTCAAAAATCTATTTTCTGAAAAAAGGCTCTTTGGAATTCTGCAATGTAAATGTAATATATTTTATTTAACTGTACCATTATTAACAGACTTCTATTTTGTTATCTGCCTTTGTTCACTTATAATAATAAGTGATATAAACAAAAATTATTTTTCATA